>NC_000012.12:27542735-27695430 GCF_000001405.40 Homo sapiens
GTGGATAAGTCATCTGCATCTCTCAAATCCTTATGCTTAGAGAATTGCGTGATGACTCCTCAGCTTAGGATTGTGCTCGTAGGCAAAACATGTTTTGTCTACGTGTTCATGTAAAAAGCACAGACGGCTCTCTTGAAGGGCAATAACCCTTCTCTTACACATAGTTGAGATTTTTGGCATCATTCATGGAGTTGTTACTTGCCTAGGCTTCATAAACATTCAGGTACCAGAGCAACATTAAAAAAGAAGATTGTAGAAACTCATGAGAAAAGACAAATCTGTTACATAACCCAGGGGAGGCAAGTTGCTAAGTAAATTTTTATTTTTCATCCCATCTAAAAGTTAGGTTAGATTTGATGGGTCTTTACGCCAGACCTTGTTCAACCACATAAAAAAAACTCCCTGAAATTAAATCATTTTTGCCTGAAGAATTTCAACATGAGGTTGTCTTGCCATTGAATGTATAATGTGTGTTTATTTAGGCTTTTTCATTTTAATAAATTGAGCCAAGTAACTACTATAAATACTTTAATTTAGAATTATAATCCAATGCAGTCTTTTTTCTATGGAGTTAAAAATACCCTTTGGGAATCCTCTTTAAATGTGTCCTGGACCTTCTTATTTTTTTATCCCTGCTACCATGGTTGCATTTTCAATAAGAAATCAACTTAGTATTAGAATATGAAGTTATGCTAATGTAAGTGGGGCTTTATTGGGTTAAGGGTTAACATTCTTACATCTGTTCTGGGAACTTTAGATCCGTTGCCCTATGGTTTTTTCATTTTTTCCACCTTTTGGTAGGAAGGGAGAGACAATGAGGAGAAAGTCTTTTTTATATGATTTATACAAGTTTATAAATTAGAGTTTTAATATAATTCACGCCATGTATATGCTTCACCTAAAACATAGATACAGTTAAGGTCAGTGATTATGTGAAATTTACATGATTTCTAAGTTTCCTGTCATGTTTAGAGTTCAAGGATCAAATTGAGCATACCGTTGGCTAAATCTTATAACGTTTGCAAGCTGAGTGCAGGACGTTGTGAAATGCCTCACCCAATTGTAATAGTCAGTAGGAAATTCTTTTCCTAAAATTTCAAGCCTGTTGCTTGTCTTTTTTTCCCAGCCCCCCACCCCGCCCCTGCTTTTTTTTTTTTTTTTTTAAGACAAGGTCTCACTCTGTTGTCCAGGCTGGAGTGCAGTGTCGTGATCATAGCTCACTGCAGCCTCAACCTCCAGGCTCAAGCTATCCTCCCACCTAAGCCTCTCAAGTAGCTGGGATTACAGATGCACACCACCATGCCCAACTAATTTTTTGATTTTTTAATTAGACATAAGGTCTGGCTGTATTATCCAGGCTGGTCTCAAACTCCTGGGCTCAAGTGATCCTTCTGTCTCAGCCTCCCAAAGTGCTGAAATTATAGGCATGAGCCATCATGTCCCCCCTGATTTTTAAATTTGCAGCCAAAGTGGACATTTGGAGGCAGAGGTGTTTGTGGTGATAATGGTTAGGAGAGAATGGACAAACAAACTTGGTACTGACTTGACTATTAACTGACAGGATACAAAGGACTAAAAAATATGCCTAGTGATGGGCAAAGACTTCATGACTAAAACACCAAAAGCAATGGCAACAAAAGCCAAAATTGACAAATGGGATCTAATTAAACTAAAGATCTTCCGTACAGCAAAATAAACTGTCGTCGGAGTGAACAGGCAGCCTACAGAATGGGAGAAAAGTTTTGCAATCTATCCATCTGACAAAGGACTAATATCTAGAATCTACAAAGAACTTCAACAAATTTACAAGAAAAAAACAAACAACCCCATCAAAAAGTGCGCAAAGGATGTGAACAGACACTAATCAAAAGAAGACATTTATGTGGTCAACAAACATATGAAAAAAAGCTCATCATCACTGATCATTAGAGAAATGCAAATGAAAACCACAATGAGATACCATCTCACGCCCGTTAGAATGGCAATCATTAAATAGTCTGGAAACAACAGATGCTGGAGAGGATGTAGAGAAATAGGAACGCTGTTGGTGGGAGTGTAAATTAGTTCAACCATTGTGGAAGACAGTGTGGCGATTCCTCAAGGATCTAGAACTAGAAATACCATTTGACCCAGCAATCCCATTACTGGGTATATACCCAAAGGATTATAAGTAATTTTACTATAAAGATACATGCACACGTGTGTTTATTGCAGCACTATTCACAATAGCAAAGACTTGGAACCAACCCAAATGCCCATCAATGATAGACTAGATAAAGAAAATGTGGCACATACACAACATGGAATACTATGCAGCCATAAAAAAGAATGAGTTCATGTCCTTTCAGGGACATGGATGAAGCTGGAAACCATCATTCTCAGCAAACTAACACAGGAACAGAAAACCAAACACCACATGTTCTCACTCATAAGTGGAAGTTGAACAATGAGAACATATGGGCACAGGGAGGGGAACATCACACATTGGGGCCTGTTGGAGGGGTGGGGGGCAAAGGGAGGGATAGCATTAGGAGAAATACCTAATGTAGATGACGGGTTGATGGGTGCAGCAAATCACCATGGCACATGTATGCCTATGTAACAATCCTGCACGTTCTGCACGTGTATCCCAGAACTTAAGTATAATAAGAAAAAAAATAAGCCTAGTGATCCTGAGATAACAATCCAGTTGGGTAGCCTCATGCTGATCCCTTCAAATCACTTTGTCACCAGCCCTTTGAAACAGAGCCAGGATAGTACATATGAGAACCCAGCAAGTTTCACCAGGGATTTCTTGTTGCTGGCTGGTTGGCTCAGGGAGTAAATAGAGTAATTAGTGCTCATTAGCACTCCCACGAGCTATAATGCATCTACCTGAGGCAGAGAGATGCTTGCCTGTGTTCCTGAAGCATAGAAATCTCCATGTGATCTCTTCAGTCCAGACATTTTTGCACTGCAGAAACAAATGCCAACTTGGCAAGAGTAAAATCCTCCAAGTGCCTCAAATAACAGTAGGCAAAACCCGTGGACTAGGGACAGAAGGCTTTCCTAGGAACGGTTAGTGTGTCTAAGAAATTGGTGTGCTGTTTAAAGCTTTCTCTTCTCCCCCAACCGGCCGCCTCTCAGTGTATGCGACTGAGGTGAACCAGATTAGTCAGAGATGTTGGACACGGTAGTCGTATAACTTGATCCCCTCAGCCTCTTGTCAGCTGTACTTCAGAAGCTATAGTCTCCATTAATGGAGGGTCTGGATTGTAGAGTCATTGAGAAAGAAGAGAGAGCAACCTTTGACGGTGATCTGCGGCCCTGTCCAGGACCTTGTGCCATTGATAGTTCTTGTTCCTGTGAAATATTAATCTGTGGTATGAAGGTGGGAGTCACAAAGGGAGGAGGGAGCCAAGTTTTGGGGGCTTGGTACACATGCCTGGAGAAACATGTAGATAAGTTGCGAATTGGCAGATTGTTGTGGGAAAGAAGCCTCAACTAAGAATCTGGCACTCTGATCCCTACATTGATTAGCTGTGTGATATTGGGCAAGTCACTTAAGCAGTTATAAAATTGTTAGAACGATACCAGCCCAGCCCTCACTGGGAGGGCTTTAAGGATCAAATGAGATCACATGTAAAATGCTGTAAAAAATTAAATAATAGTGTGATTTTTGAGTTTTTATATGGAGTACATTAGCTACATTTTAGACATCCTCACCCAAACCTCTGGTAAAAGCACCTGCTTTTCCACTGACTTCCAGGCCTGTGACTCTAATTCCATCCCTGTACCCTAAACTAGACTGGAGCCTGTTTGGATGCCAGGTAGTTCCCTTGAAGTTTTTTGGAAGATAGTGCTGTCTCCTGGGCAAGACAATAGCAGGAGCTCCTGATTCCTGCATTGGCCTGTCTGCAATCCCCTTTCTTGGGAATGCAGTAAATTCTACAAAGTCATCATTCATCTATCAGTTACACAGGAATTGTTCCCTGTTCTTAAAAGTTTGGAACATTGGCTGGCTGCAGTGGTTCATGCCTGTAATCCCAGCATTTTGGGGAGACTGAGGTGGGTGGATCACTTGAGCCCAGGAGTTCGAGACCAGCCTGGGCAACATGGTGAAACCCCATCTCTACAAAAAATGCAAAAAACTGGCCAGGCATGGTTGTCCCAGCTACCAGGGAGGATGAGGTGGGAAGATCACTTGGGCTCAGGAGGTTGAGGCTACAGTGAGCCACGATTGCACCACTGTACTCCAGCCTGGGAGACAGAGTGAGACCCTGCCTCAAAAAACAAAAACAAATAACCAGTTTGGAATGTTATGAATAAAGTGTTCAGGACTCAGTTTCATACTTAGGTGGAACTGTTCTTGCCGGGTAGCTTTAGAATGAAGATTTGCTAGGATTTGAGGTTATAAAGTAAATATGTCTTTTGTGGGCAGCCATACTCTGATGGTTAAGGTTGGGAACCCCAGATGTGGCCTCCTTTGCTCTGGTGGCAGTTTTCAATGCCACATGATGTTGGGACAAGCAAATCACTACCTTTGCTAGGTCTCGCCGCCTTTACTTGTGAACTTGCTGTATTCCTGTGCATTAACTCCTGTCCCTGTTGACTGGGTTGGTGTTCAGAAAGTGATCTGAGCTGAATATCAAAAATGTGTAGTTTTTAAACTGAGTGGCTGTATGACGAGTATTTTTCAAAGACGGTTATCAGCCTTTGTAGGGCCTCTGAAGGAGCCTGTGACTTCCTCGTACAATTAGAAAAATAATGCTCTGCATTAGTTATCTTAGAAAACTGCTGCTGGTCTTAAATTAGGTTCCCTAGAAGCAGACTCTGAGACCAGGAGTGGGGTGCTGAAGGATTTTGGGGGTGAGCTCTCAGGAGACACCTGTAAGGAAGGAACAAGGCAAGATTGGGCAGAGGAGAAGCTGACTGGCAAATGTGGTTGCGTCTGAGACCCCAGCCACTTCTATGGGGAGCGCTGGATGGTTCTTCAGAGCTGTCCCCATTTGAGCAAGGGGCTGGACTTTTGTTTGCCTACATCAGCTAATTCCTGGCAACTGGCCACCCCTTCTGGGGGTATCACTTTGGGTGAGGCTGTGTCCTGCAGCTGGCTGAGGACCTTCCTTGTGAACCATCAGCAGCTGGGGATGGGTGTATTGGCCCTAAAAAGGACGTCTGGGTGGAGCAATATAGTGTCTACTATACTGTCCCAAAGAATCTAACCCTTTGAGAAAGAAACAAGTGGGTAGCGCCAAATGCCCGGCATATGGCAAGTCCCTTTATATGGAAAGTTAGAAAGTCTGGATCCCTTAGCAAAACTGAGGGAAGAGATTATAACTGCTTTGTGAACTATTAAATAAACAGATCTCCAGCCTCTTGGAAGTTTATGAGATCCTTGGATAATATGTACACCTGATTACGGTGTAACAGGGCTTAGCCTCTATATTTGTGAAATGACTGACCCATAATTGAATAATTTTCCCCAAGCATGAATTACTGCACGTTCAGAATATTCATCCTATGTGTATATAAATGCAGTTGAATGGGTCGCCGTAACAAAAGGCAAGCAAGTGAGTGAGGCACACAAACTCAGACTTAGAACCTTCCAGGGGGCCCTGGGGATGGAAGGCAAATATAGGAGGTTATAGCTTTGGTTCCTGAATCACCTTATGTGATATTTTAGTCATAGTCGAGGATAATGATTTAGGAGTTAAATTGCCAAAGGATAAGTCAATATGCTTTGGCGGGGGTAGGGAAGAATCAATTTTCTGGCATTTCCGAAAGCCAGTTGCACTGAACAAATGTCTAAAACTGGCATGGTTTGTTGTATAAGTGGGATGAGTAGACAAAGCCAAAGTTATACCTAATCTCTTTCCCAACTGCAGATTAAGTCATATCTGTAAAAGGCAACATGGTTTTTCTTCTGCATTTTCTGCCTTCTAGTAAGTGAAGGAGGCAATGGGTTGTGCTCCTCCATCATCTGAGTAGTTTGAGTGTATTTTGGGGACTGGAGGTGGGGAAGCCTGATGACTTCGTCGTGGCATAGAGCAAAGGTGATCGGGGGTGTGTGTTCAGACCATGGACTTCGCTTCCCAGTGAGCCCCCTGGACTCTGTGTATTCTTTGCCTTTATCTGCATTGCCACCTGGAAGCTCCGTAATGTCAAGTCCTGGAAGATATTACTAACCTGTTTCCATTATGGGTGTAGTAGAAATATAAGTAGGTCACTGTTCCTAATTCAGAAACTGAAGAGAGTCAAGCTGCCATGGTGACAGGTTCTGTATAAAAACACCCACCTCTGAACCTCTTGGAGAGATGTGATGATTTGGTCATTGGATGTGAAGGGGATAATCTGCCAGCTGGTTTATTGCATTGGCTAGAAATAGGAGATGCAGAAACTAAAAAGCTCTCAAGAAGTCATCAGATGAGAAGGAAATTAATGTAGCATAGTGATTCTGCTGTAGAGGAAAGGCTAAAGGTGAGACTCTTGAATATGTGCACCATTTCTTCTGCAGCTCTTGACTTGGATGATCCTTCTCAGTGTGATCCCACGAGTGTTTGGTGATGATCTGATAGTAGAAAGGGCAGAGCGATTTAACTTTGTGCACATCTTCCTCTGACTTCTCCATCTTTCTAACATGCCTGTACGTGTGCCTTTATCATTGGCATTCTGGAGTTAGGGACATGACCTTTTCTACAGTCCGGATGAGGAATCTCCAACTATGACTTTTCATTGTGACTCACGTCTGCAAAGAATGAATAAAGAAGAATTTGTTGGCCAGGAAGTGTGTACTATGCAGAGAGAAATAATTGTTGTTGGGAAAGAAACTTTTGAAGAACCAGAATTAAAAAAAAAAAAAAAAGAAGAATGAAGGAAGTCTATCAAGAAAAGGAAGAACCAGAAGTGATCTGCAGGGTGTTGCCTGGAGATATGGGAAATAAATCAAGAACAGAGAAATGGGAAAAGATAAAATAAAAAACATTGCCGGTTAGGACCAGCTGGGGTCCTAGGAAAGTGGCAGTTCCAGCGGGGCTTGGAAAGCTACTGAACCACTCACTTATGCACACACAACTGCCCCGCCCTCTCCCCTTCTTTGGCCCCCATTCACCTGGTGTAGGAGGGTCTGACACCCTCACCAGGGAGAGTGCTATTTGGCTGTTTTGAAGGCGAGACCTTGAAGCGTGGGAGAGCTTCGCCTCTTTCGTAAGCTGATGTTGCGTAACCTCCCGGAGAGTCAGGACCTAGTGGTTAAGGACACAGGCTTTGAAGCCAGGCAGATAGGGTGTGACTTAAATGCTGGACCTCAGAAAAATGGCTTATTGTGAAGGGTTTAATGGAGCATAATGAAGTAAGTGCTCAAAACTGTTGTTAATATATGCCAAGAGTTATAACTAAATTTGTAAAAAGCACCTTCTTATACTCTCAGGCAAACTTTGAACCCGAGCTCGGCTTCAACAGGGAGCTGGACTCTATCAGTGGCCCCATGGGGGAGCTGGGCAGTAATCCAAGGCTCCGGGTGGGGTGTTTGAAGCAGCTGCAGATCCTCGTGAAGGGCTCTGGGTGCCCATACATTGTCCCTATGGAGTTTCTGTACTTAAAGCCCCTGATTTTTTTTGTAAGCTGCTCCAGCTGGGATGTCTGCACACTCACACATGTTAACCTAGAATGGATTCAGGAACTATTTTAACATTTACATGGATAATGGGTTGCTTTGTTAAGTCATATGTAAATTTTTATTTAGCTCCTAACCATCTCCTGTACACAAGACACTGGACTCACAGGAGTGCAAAATGCAATGGTGTTAGGGGTTTGTATGGATATGTTATTCGTGCTTTATGACAACTCAGAGAGAGGTAGGTAATATTACCAGTTTTACAGAGATTAAATAACTTGCCCGAGATCAAACAGAGATTATACCTTACTACATGGACTCTGTGCCACCGCGAATTGTAAGACACATTCCAATATTGGAGATGTTAAATTAACCTTTAAAATTAACGAAATGTGGTAAGTCACAGAGCCTCGATTCTACCCCATACTTGGCTGATTTCAAAGTTTGTGGTTTTTTCCCTCATCACATGTAAGGGCTTGCAATCCTGTCTTAACTGGTGAACATAAAACAAACACAAATAAGAGGACAATTAACATTTGTAAGACTTGAAAGGGTGGCATTAATAATAATAATAATGGTTGGTGTTTATCACTCACTTACTCTGTGGCAGTGCTTTCATGTGCTTTGTTTGGGGGTGGGCACTAATTTTATATATATATATATTTTTTTTTTTTTAACAAACGTGAAAACTGAGATAGGTACTCTTATTCCCATCTTCTAAAGAGAAAACTGAAACAAAGATTAGTTATGTGACCTTGGGAGATCTTCTCCAAGATCACATAGCTTGTAGTAAAAGTCAATCTGCACCATGGTAGTTAAGAGTTCAAGTTTACTTATAACCACGACAGACCTGGTTTGAGTTCCAGAAGAGTGTGATCTGATAGACAGGTGCTCAGTGCTCCAGGAGCACCTAACCCAGCCTTGTGGGGGTCTGCAGGCACTCCCAAAGTGGACGGCACCTAAACTGAGAAGGCAGTGTCCATCTCTCTATCGCAGGCCACCGTGCTGCTAAAAATAATCATGGTTGCCCTATGTTACTGACCTCCACTAGTACTACGAAGGTCTAAACCTGGCATTAGCTAGTAGGAACTGGCTTTATTTATAGTTTACATCCTTTCCACTTCCCAAGAGCAACAGAGGAGGTTTAAAAGGAACATTGTAAATTAGACAGTTGCTGAGAACCAGAATGATGGCTACATAAAAGGTCTTGGAAATCCAAAAAAATAGAAAAAAAATTATTTGATGTTCCATTGTGTAATGTAAGTCTCTGGAGATGAACAGCTGGGTATTCTTCCTACAACTTTTAGGCTACGGCGTGTAGTCTCCGGTGCCAAGAGAGCTCACACACTGGCCAGCCAAAGTCTCTGTAACAACTCAATCACTTGGCTTTTCATGTTCGTCTTAATTCTTTTTACAGAATTAATGATTTTTATTTTGAGTTAACATATTGCTAAAGGATGTGAAGATTGTGTGTCAAGCTGGCATCTTGAAATAAAACAGTATGTTTACAAATGGATAGATATCCTGTCATTAAAAATAAATTTTGACAGACTGTGGTTCATAAGGAGACCCATATTAGAAGACACCGAAAGAGCCTTCAGAACATCAAATCATAATTGCTGAGTAGCAGACTGCGTTCCAGGTCCGTGTCTGCCCCTTCAAGAACATCTGACCCCTAGTTTCCTCATCTTTAAAACAAGGGGGATGGGTTAGATATTCCCAGATTTCTTGAGCTCTAAAATTTGTTTGACTCAAACATTTCTAATGAATTCTCACACAGCGTTTGTTCTGACTAATTCATCAGGGTGCCTGCCTAACAGTAAATGTTGAATTTGTTTATCTCCGAGTTCTGTTGTCAATGAATTGAAATGGGTGTTATATTTTAAATTCTGATTGTCCACTGATTGCATGTCAAAGAGAATGTATTGCGGGCATTTCTCCTGCATGTCTTTGGAATAGAGAAATTTATTGTTAATGAAGAGAATTGAACCGCTATCAGGTTAGGGGTCAAGAAACCTTTTGGCTGCAGTAATCCCAGACAGTCGACTCCAGAGCCACCGGCCAGCCAAGTTGTCTTGAACTGCAGTCAGGAACGCTGACACTGGATCAAAAGGCAACTGTTTTGGTTAGTTTGAGAGAGGTTCTGCTGCAATGGAACTTTGAGGGTGGGACTAAGGAGAAGGCAGGGCTGAGGATGGGAGAGAAAAATTGTACTCACTGTTATGTACCAGAGGTGGAATTCTAGTTGTGATTCCAAATCGATGTTTCTCAGGGAGAAAAAGCTCTTCTCTTTTTCTCTGGTTCAAGACCATCTGACAACTCGGAACATAACTCATTTGATAACTCTGAACTTAAGTTAAAGAAAACATTATTCAATGATACTTGTTAAAGCATGGAACAAAGGATCATTGCTACAGGGCTTTGCAGTGGGGGAGAGAGATTGCGTTCGATTCTGAATATTGCATGGACAAGTGGGCATTTATAGCCAAGGAGCAGGGTGGGAGTCAGTGGATGGAAAAATACTAAGAGGAATGTTGGGGTAAGGGGGATTCTGGCTAAATTAACCTAACAGGATTCTTGCTGAAGATAGGCCAGGGTGATCGGACACCTGGGGGATGGTGGAGGATGAGGAGACTGATCAGATACCGAGAGTGGGAGGTTCTTGCTAAACTGACTTAGCAGGGTTCTTTGCTAAACTTGGATTTTACAAGGAAGTGCACGCAGAGGCCTAGGAGAAGATTTATGAGCCTGACTAAAGTTTGGCCAGAAAAAGAATCTTTGCTACATAACTCATTTGATAACTGAACTTAACTCATTGCCAGATGACCCCATATACTGCCCAGGCTGGGGATAGAGGGTGACTGAAAATAAAGACGAACTCAAGCTTACGATGACATGAAGAGAGTGAAACTACAAGTCTGATCTCTCCCCAGGCCCTCAACAATGCCACCACTGTCACCACTCAGTCCAGCTGGGCCGGGGATGGTGCTCACCCACACTCTGGATGAATGCTGTTTTGTGCTCTGCTGTGTTGGTTCTTCTGCAGCCCTTTCTGTCTTACCGATAGGTTGCCCCTGCCCCGCAGGAGCCAAGAGTGCCCAGTGAAGCTTTCTCTGTGGATGGGACTGATACACACCATGACATGTGTTGGGAAAGTCCCTGGTGCTGGATGAGTTCTCCTTCAATAGCTTTGAAGTTATGTGGCTGACCCTGTAGGAGTAATTGGTTTCTTATGAATGATGACCTATGAATTAAATAGGAAGCAATTCTTGTCTACAAAGTTTATCTCCAGTGATAAGGAAAAGACCCCCAAGGAAGCTCATCGATATTCGGGGACTCAGCATTCACAACTGCAGGGGGCACCATTCATACCATTCATGTGGCCCTAATTCAATGCTCTTGTAATTCTTCATACTTAGAACATTTTTGGGTGATCCTCTATTAGAACAGGCAGATGGAGTTAAGCTGGCTGCAGCCAACGATCAAATGGTTCCTTAAGTATTCCTACTTTTCTTCCCTCCTCTTTATCTTCCAATTGAGTAAATAGATGCTTTCTGAATTATACGTGTTACTTAAAAAACTGATTAAAGAAGCAGTTTATAAGCAACTCTTGCTAAGTGCCTTGGGTAAACCTGCTGTCTCACAGAATTGAGCAGGGCAGAAAAAGGCATCTTTTGGAATGCCAGTGTTTCATCTAAGTTTAATTTGATACCAAGGGCTGCTTGACAGCACCCATCTGGTTAACACTGAGTGCTTAGATGTATATTACGGTAAATGGCTTAAAACTGGCAACTTCTAGACATTAGCTCACAATCCCGTTAAGATTCCTGTTAAGCCCTGGGGATAATGCACAGCCTGGTGTAATCAAGAAAACTGTAGCAGTTACACTCATCCCAACATCCCAATTATTCCTAACTTAAATGTTGCCATCCGCCAGATTTCTCAGCCTAGTGAAGCTGTTCCCTCCATTTAAAACAATTGCTTTCTGAAAATTTGTGTTTCTTTGGTAAAAAGATATACACTAGGAGGAAATGATTTGGAATTTAGAAGTGCTCACTACAGGGTTCTTATTCAGTATTTTTATCAGTGATTGGGAGTTGCGGTTGAAACCAGGCTGGGAGAGACAGCTGATGACAGTCAGAATCCAGAAAATAATCCGTACAAACGATGACAATGGTAAAGTGAAGTTGATAATGCTTTAAATAACAAAGCTGTATGTCACGCTGTGAATATACTTGAAAAAAAATCAACTGAAAACTGACATGACTTGGTTTGGTAAAAACTCCCTGGAGGTTTGTAGTTCAGCAGAAGCCAAATCTGTGATATTGCTGTGAATGGAAAGTTCATCTAACCGTGTTTAGCAAATTTAATGCAAGTTAGTGTCCAGTTTCTGGAGATAATGGTTCCTTTGTGCACGTTGTCGGAGATCCTACATCTGGAGTCTTGTGCTTGACTCCATACACTTTAAGAGGAATGTTGCCAAATTGGAATGTTCCCAGTGTTGGGGTGTGGAGATCGTGCTGACACCAGAGGTCTGGAAATTGTGTCCCCTTCGGAGTGGTTTGAAGAACTGGGGCTGTGATGTCCTAGGAAGTTAAGGGAGACAGGGCTGCTATTATAAAACATTTGCCTGCTTGCCAAGCAGAAGAAGGAATAGGCTTGTATTTTTTGATCCCTGAGGACGGACCTCAAATGGCAACAGAGGCTGGGGTGGGGCGTGCATTCTTGTTCGTTCATGGAAGGCAGGCCCTTCCAGTAAGCAAACGAGCCAAGCTGTTGACAGGAGGTGGCAAGATTTATGGAGATGCCTCAGAAAATATTCGGGCTTTCAGCCTAGATGTTGGCTCAGGTCCCCTTCGACAATAAGGTTCTATGGTTTTGTAAAATAGCTAGCACCCCTGGTTCTTTTCAAAAATTATTTTCTTCAGAGAGATAGAATGGTGGAAGAAAGGCACTCTTTGCTGTGGCATAGATCATAGAAAGCACAATAACTGCTTGTTTCTCATGAGAGCTGAAAATGCTCTGGAGATTTCTCTAAATGTGGCTTTTCTTGTTCTTTATTTTCTGCAGATCCTGTCAGGACTATAGATTCCTTATTCCTTTATTTGATTTGGTGTTTCACTCGAGCGGGCTAAATAACAGTGATTATTATATGCAAAAAAGGTTGCTACAGTTATTTTTCCCCCTGATATGAAAGCTAAGCCTTGTTTTCCTCTTCTTGGCAGAAATTGTGCTTTTCTTTGGAGGAAATCATAAATCATGATTGAAAGCAAAAGCTGTTTTGACCCAACTCTTCCCCTTTTCTCTATGGAGAAACAATCACTTGGCGATGATATAGCACGTACGAGACAGATGATCAGAATTAAATTCTTTTATCTGTTAACAAGCTCATCTTTTCATTGACTCAAATCCTTTTAAGAAATATTATTTTGGGGGAAAAAGCCCCCATTTTGTGTTAATTTTTCTGATCCTTTGACAAATATGTTTATTATTCTTTTAAGCAAGTTGGGCACCATTTTACATAAAATTATAGCTTAAATCAGAGCCTTATGATTGAAAGAGACTTTGCATAAAAAAAGCAATTACTTATTTGTCCATGTTAAACTTAGATGCAGTGTTTAGAACTTAAACTGTGAAGTTTAAGTTGAATTATGAGTAATGAATACAGAATATTTTGGAATTAACAATTAGCCTACTGAATAAAGCTGCTTCCTGAATACATCTATTGCTTTTGAAGTCAAGTATTTTCTTGGCATCACAACAGGCCAGTTTTGAGTAACCTTGTTGTGGTTGATATGCTAGTTTCAAAATCTGCTGGAGAAATCAAAGCTCGGTGTGGTTTTCTGACTTCCCACATGATTAACTGTAAGATCCCTGCCATATAGATGGCTAATAATATTTTCCATAGCCACCTGGGAGTAACAAAGAGCATTAACATTCATTACTGCATGTTAATGAAACACATAAATATTGAAAATAAATATTGTATGACTTGAATCTTTAGCAAGGTTTCTATTCTTTGCCAGTGATAACGTTTGTTATCATAGAGTGAAAAACCAGTTTCAGGCGTCACACCAAACAGGAGCTATCATGGTAATACCCAGAAAATGTGACAAAAGGCTAACTGTTGTGGACTTAGCTTGCGTTGTTAGTTATACAGATTTTTTGCAGAGATTTGATATGAAGTTGGGTTTATAGGAATTAGGAATTCATGATGGAGTCTCATGTTTATTGCTTCTTGGTCCGCATTGGGAAAGTTGTCAGTTACTGAGGGAACAGGAAATTTCCATTGTGCTTTGCTGCTGGCAGTCTGGATTTGTGTTGTTTTAGAAGTTTTCCTGCTGTAAGCTACTTTTAAGCCAACACACCCCTAATATTCAAGCGTTCAGCAGGAGAGAGCAAGTTAGAAGACTGTCTCTCAGAATTACTAACAAGTCATCTCACCTGTCTGCTTTAAGCTTCAAACAGGTTAATCCTTGGAATTGTCGGGGGCTAATAAATTAATATATGTAGGCCTGTACTTTTAAGGGGAGTGATTATTTTACATTTGCTCAAACATATATGTTTGAAGGGAAGGAGAGAGGGGGATTAAGCTTCCTAAAATCTCAATAAAGACCCCACCCCTCAAAAAAAAAAACCTCAAAATCTTGAAATAGGTCTTACTGATATGTCTAAGTGGCTTGGATTTTGTTTAATTTCAAAATCTGAAATTGCTTTGAGTCTTTTTATTTGAAAATCCTTCATGACTGGTTTCCATATGTGTTTTAGGAAAAAGAAGGGGGTGTCAGCTTTAGAAATCTCTTCATGGCTTGATTTATTTTGAAATTAGTGAAGAACAAGATTTTCTCTCCTTCTGCTGGCCTTTTTTGTATCAAGCTAAAGTTTTTAGGAGTAATACCATGGTAACAATTTTTTTTTTTTTTTGAGATGGAGTCTTGCTGTGTTGCCCAGGGTGGAGTGCAGCAGCGAGATCTCGGCTCTCTGCGAGCTCCACCTCCTGGGTTCAAGCGATTCTCCTGTCTCAGCCTCCCGAGTAGCTGGGACTACAGGTGCCCGCCACCACGCCTGGCTAATTTTGTGTATTTTTAGTAGAGATGGGGTTTCACCATGTTAGCCAGGATGGTCTCAATCTCCTGACCTCGTGATCCACCCGCCTTGGCACACGCCTGCTGGGATTACAGGCATGAGCCACCACGCCCGGCTACATCATGGTAACAATATTGAACTTTTAATCTGAAAAATTAAAACTGTGGTGTTTCCCAGGAACCCTAAAAGTCTATAGAATGATATTTAATATAGATGTTGGCATGAGTACATTTACAATATAAAAGAACTCTGTCTTTTGAACATCAGCTTTTATACTCATGGTATTTTTACCTTTAAGTCAGATCATGAAAAGTCTCCAACACTGTTGGCATAGTACATTTTGTCTATTTAAGTGCTAAATGCCTCCCTATAGGGGTTTTATATGAAAAATGAGTGATGCAGATGTATTGGGGACAAACCTGGAATTACTGGAATGTGAACTTCCTTATATTTATTTTCAAGCACTCAGGAAAATTCTCTGTCTCTTAGATCTAAATAAATTCTCTAGTTTTGTTTCCTGATAATCCTGGGAGCAGATCACTTGGTTGTTTAAGGGATCCTGTTTTATTTGAAGCTCTATTCCTTTATTTCCAAGAGTCAGTTCTTTTCTTCAACATAGCCTTATCGTACTCCACAAGACTTTGGGTATATGTAGAAAGTGTTCTTTCTACATACGTGGTTCTTAGGACTTTTGTAATGCAGTGAATATATTTGGGTGGAAGTGGATGAGAAATAGTTTGGAATACAATTATTAGACATTTTATTGTTTACAAATGCTTTATTAGTATGCTCACATATTCTCTTTCTTATACCTTTTTCTTTTCCCTAAAGACCTTCTGGGTTTTTTTTTTGTTTTGTTTTGTTTTGTTTTGTTTTAAGATTATTTGGTGCTTGAGACCTGTAGCTATGATTTTGAATGAACAGGGCTACTTCCAGTAATTAGATCATATAATGAAGATTTGAAAGTGCTTATTTTCATTTTATCTCCTGCCCTTCCCACAATGGATGCAGTACAGAAAATCAAGACTATATGTAATTACACAGTATGTTATACACACACACACACACACACACACACACGATATTCTATATAGATCAAGAAATGTCTTACTTCTTTGTGGGCATTGGGGAAAATAGTTTAGGTATATATACTCTTCCTTCCTGCCCCCACCTCTCCACCAACACACACACACACACACACACACACACAAACATACACACACGCTGCCTAGAGTTAATTATAAATTATGCGTATGTTTGATCTTCAGCAAAGTGGAAGCATAAAGAATGGTGTTTAAATGCACTGTAGGGCCCCAATTCGGAAGTTGTGTTATCGCAAAGCTTTACTAGCATGCAAAGCTTAATTAGGTTAAACTTACCTAACCTAAACTTGCCATTAACCTATTTTTCTGGATATAAATCATAGCTATAACAGTGATTTTTTTTCTTTTTATTTATTTTTATAGAGGAAGGGTCTTGCTTTATTACCCAGGCTGGAGTGCAGTGGCGTGACCACACTCACTTGAAGTTTTGGGCTCAGGTGATCATCCTGTCTCAGCCTCCCAACTCTAATAGGTGGGACTACAGACATGTGCCACCACACCTGACTAAGTTTTTTATTTTTTATTTTTGTAGAAATGGGGCCTCACTCTATTGCCCCCAGGCTGGTCTCAAACTCCTGGCCTCAAGCGATCCTCCTGCCTTAGCCTTCCAAAGTGCTGGGTTTATAGGCATTAGCCACAACACCAGGCCCTTAATAGTGATTTTTTTTTTTTAGACGGAGTCTCGCTCTGTTGCCCAGGCTGGAGTGTAGTGCAGTCTCAGCTCACTGCAAGCCCCGCCTCCCAGGTTCATGCCGTTCTCCTGCCTCAGCCTGCTGAGTAGCTGGGACTACAGGCGCCCACCACCAAGCCTGGCTAATTTTTGTATTTTTAGTAGAGACGGGGTTTCACCATGTTGGTCAGGCTGGTCTCGAACTCCTGACCTCGTGATCCATCCACCTCGGCCTCCCAAAGTGCTGGGATTACAGGCGTGAGCCACCGTGCCCGACCCATAATAGTGATTTTTCAACATCAATGAGTATGTATGATATTCTCATCAGTGCTAAATACTGATATCAGCTGTATTCGCTTAATTCTTTATTTACAAAACAACTTTTTAACTAGAAGATTTTCTCTTGTTTCCTAAGGTTTCAGGAATGTAATGGTTCAAGGGGAAAAAACGCCAACCCAATAACACAGTACCAAAACTCTCTGTGATTTTACAATTGGATCATAAGGATACCTGTGGTATTTGAAAACCTAATTATAGTTATACCTCTTGGCATAATTATAAGCTCCTCTCCTTCCAGACACAAAAATTAAATGGTGAAATTTTTATGTACATACATAGCACCAATGTGGAATAAACCCTGCTATTTCTCTACATGAAAAATAAATGTAATTGGGGTAAGTTGACATTTTCTAGAGAGGACATATAGGCTAGGAGATGCTGAAGCTGTTTCTTTCTCCCCTCAGAAACAAAACACTGTAATTGTGATTTGAATTAGAATGTACCATGCCAGGGACTGAGGCTTTCTTTAATGATAAAATACAATCTACGTAATGTTCTTCTGTGGAGAGAATTTGTGTTGACAGGTAAGTATTACACATGGACAACTTTACTCAAATGTTTTTAAAATGTACACCCAGAAGTTTTGTCTTTGTGTAAAATATATTACTGCTTTTTCGTCTTTGAAATGCCAAGGTTTTCCCCTGTGTTCCCAGATAGCAGTCAGTAATCCTGCACTTTAAATTCAAATTATTGGCTGGCTTAGATCCTGACTAAAAATTTGGGAGGAATAAAGGATCATGGATTTGCCTGAGGAAAGATGAGTTCACAAAACCTCAGGAATGAATTAAATGCAAAATGAGTCTGTTTCTTTCGGTGGTTTGGATTTGGGGTTCTTTGTAGCAAAACCTCAAGGATTCTATCAGTTTGGATTTTGGAAATTAAATTAGATGGGACTAGTATTGTCTTTGAGAGAGACTTGTTGAGGACAGACTGAAGAGGAAAAGCTCAGGTGAACACATGATTTGCATCCAGTACATGTTGTAAATTATTGGCATATTTTGGCTGTTCCTCAAAGCAGGACTGGCTGCATCTGTGCTTAGAGGTAAAACTAATAGAGGACCACATTTTGGTTCTTCCTGTGAGCTCAGTACTGTGTGAGTGAGTTACTTACATCAACACAGCCATACGAGTTGAGTATTATTATTACTTCTGTTTTAAGATGAGTAGATAGAGGTTGAGAGGGCTTGGGTAATTTGAAAGGGCACAAAGTCAGGATCTAAATCCAGCCCTCCTGGTCCAGAGGTTTATCCTTGTGATCCTGACCATTCTACCCCACAGGAGCTGCTGTTAGCTTTATTTCTCTGTTGTTGAAAACTAACTTAATATCCTATGTACTAAACTTTTTCTTTTAATAACACATAAAACTGGAAAACAAAAGTTCAGAAATAATCACCTCACCTGAAGAGATGATTTTTGCTAGATTTTGTGTATTGTGGAGGAATATTTTTCCTCTAACCTCTTAAGATCCTGAGGGCCTAAGAATTAAAACAACAAAAGACAGAATAACAGTAAAAAGTCTGTGTGTAAGAAGCTTGCCAACTGGTTAAAGCCAGAGACATGTATACCTAACATAGTGGGGTATAGGGAGGGAATAGTGAGGAGAGAGAAAAGGCCTCTGGGAGGGACCACTGGGTTTCTTTATGGAAGGGGAAGGGGTTTCTAGAGATAAGCAAGTTTGTTCTTGCAATTGTGAGTGGTCTTTTGGTCTTTCTGTCTTCTTCATGGTCACAAAAATCCCTGGAGAGGGGATTTATGGTAGGTTTACTCTTGGCCTCCTTTCTGGGGGTAAAAGCCACCTTAAGAGGAAAATTATGGCAGCCTCATTTTCTTTAAATTTCTGCTTCTAGTCCAGTAAAGGAAGCTCCAAGAAAGCTGCTTTTTGTGTCGGTTGAATCTCAAATATCTTTAGCTTAAAATAATCTTTATAACAACTATGGAGTTCTGAGTGGGTCTCTCTGTAGGTGTTTTGATCTTCTATTTTGTATCGTTGGATAAAATGTGTCATTTTCCTTGCCCTCAGAACCCTCTGATGGCGTCTCTTTTCCCTCAAAAGGAAATCAGTCTTTAAAATGGCACAGAAGTTATGCATGGTCTCTCCTCTCCAGCTTCTCTGACCTCTCCTGATCATCTCAACCTTGTTCAGTTTGCTCCAGCCACAGCTGCCTGCTTTCGTTTCTGTAGTTCTCCGAGCACTCCTCTGCCTCTGCACATTTGCACTTGCTCTTCTCTCTGCTTGGGATGCTTTCCCCCAGAGAGCTGCAGAGCTCACTCATTTCCTTCACAGCCTTCCCTGGCTAACTTATATAAAGCAACAACACCAGGCTGGGCAACATAGTGATAGCCCATCTGTACAAAAAAAAATTAAAATTAAAAATTAGCTGGGCATGTGGTGTGTGCCTGTAGTCTCAGCTACTTGGGAGATTGAAGTGGGAGGTTCACTTGAGCCCAGGAGTTGGAGGATGCAGTGAGCCGTGATTGCCACAGCACTCCAGTCTGGGCAACAGAGTGGTACCCTGTCTTAATCAAATAGTTAATCAACAAAATGAACTAGCGACCCTCCTCTCTGAGCTCTCTTTTTCCCAACTCTGCATTGTTCTCTCCATAGTATCACTGTCTCTTGTATTTTCACTTGTTTATTTATTTATTTGCTGTTCCTACGCAGTGACTGTATTTTGTTTATTGCTATATCCTCAGCAACTAGATGAGTGTCTGGCACATAGAAGATGCTCCATAAATATTTGTTGAATAAAAGAAAGAAGTGAAAATGTGTGAAATCTACACAGACATGCCTGTGCACACACAAACATGCACAATATCATACATGGTATTATGTAGCCTGCTTTGCATTATATCAGGACTAATATTACATTGTATGGCTATTTTTGTAATTTTTACAATTATTAAGATTTTTGACAGTATAAATTATCTTGGTAAAAGTTATTGAGATTTAATTGGAGCTACATAATTTGTTAACCTGGGCTTGTCCTGTAAATGTTAGTTGGCCATGATTTTATTTTTTCCTTTATCTTTAATTTACAAAGCCAGTTAGTTGATAATCCTGTTAGCAACTTTAAACATCAATATTCCCTACTCCCATTACTACTAAGTCACTCTTTTTAAAGGTCATTATTGTGCCATACTTTTAGAAATATTAAAGAAAATGAGCTTTTTAGACTGCTAAAACTGGGTTTAATTCTGATTCTCCCATTGCCAGCTCTTGTGTTCCTGGGCAAGTTATTTGACTTCTGAACCGCAATGTTGTTGGTTGTTAAGATGGTTATGATAATATTTAACAGAGTCATTTGCAGATTTAATTGAAATAATTCATATAAAAGCAGTGCCAGTTCATGGTTATACCCTGAAAAATAACTGCCAGGCAGATTGGAATACTTGAATCTCTATTTTTTAACCTCAGAATATAAATGGATATTGTGTGCATAATTCTAAAGATGTCTCCCCACGCTGCCTGTCTTCTGGTTGTTCAAACGCTAATCTAGGCACTGCTGTGAAGGAACTTTGCAGATGGAATTAAGGTTACTAATCAGCTGACCTTAGGTTGGGGATAGTTTTTTGAATGATCTAGGTGGGCCGTATGTAAATAATTACATAAGCTTTTAAAAGCAGACAATTCAGGCCAGGTGTGGTGGCTCACACCTTTAATCCCAGCACTATGGGAGGCTGAGGTAGGCGGATCACGAGGTCAAGAGATCAAGACCATCCTGGCTAACACGGTGAAAACCCATCTCTACTAAAAAAAAAAAAAAAAAAAAAAAAAAAAAATTAGCTGGGTGTGGTGGCCAGCGCCTGTGGTCCCAGCTACTCAGGAGGCTGAGGCAGGAGAATTGCTTGAACCTGGGAGGCGGAGTTTGCAGTGAGCTGAGATAGTGCCACTGCACTCCAGTCTGGGCAACAGAGCGAGACTCCATCTCAAAGAAAAAAAAAAAAAAAAAGCAGACAACTCAGAGATGAGGCAGAAGAGGGAACCAGTGGAGAGACTGGGCACAAAGAGAAAAGACTTGTAGGGTAAGAGGAGACTCCACCTGCCATTGCCGACTTTGAAGGGACCATAAGCCAAGGAATGCAGGTGATCCCTTGAAGTTGAGAACAACCCCCACAGCCAGCAAGGAAATAATGATAAAGCCTCAAGTTCGCCCATCATGGATCCTGGTGGCACTACTCCCTCCTTAGTGTCTTTCCCCAGGCTGTCAGTCAGAGTTATTCCCTGCATTTAATATGTCATTGTGCATATGTGGGGTTTTTTTGTTTTTTAACATAAAGGGACTTAAGGAATATGCAGACCCCAAAGACTCAGCACTGGGCAAGCCAGCCATAAACACTTCCCTTTTTTTTTTTTTTCTTTTTTGAGACGGAGTCTCTCTCTGTCACCCAGGCTGGAGTGCAATGGTGCGATCTTGGCTCACTGCAACCCCCGCCTCCTGTGTTCAAGCGATTCTCCTGCCTTAGCCTCCTGAGTAGCTGGGACTACAGGTGCGTGCCACCACGACTGGCTAATTTTTGTATTTTTAGTAGAGACAGAGTTTCACCATATTGGCCAGGCTGGTCTCGAACTCCTGACCTTGTGATCCGCCTGCCTCGGCCTCCCAAAGTGCTGGGATTACAGGCGTGAGCCACCGTGCCTGGCCAATGCTTACCTTTTTACATGAATTCAACCTGTGAGACAGTGAGAAATTACTTAACTTTGAACTTTTGGTCTTTCTTCTTCAAAACTTGAGATAATATATACAGTCCTCTGCATGTAAGAAGACAGAATGAGTGTACTTTTTATCTCCAAATTTGTATGTAAGGATATTTGAAAGGGAGTCAAGTGTGTAGTTTAGAAATAGTCTTCTTAAACATTCACATAGCTCCTTTCACAAAAATAAAATTCTCTGAGCCCTTTTCATTATGATTTACCAAGTCTGGTCTTGTTTTCACTGTTGTCATTGTTGTTGTTTAAAGAAAATTCTTTTCTAGTTGATTTCTGGAAGTTGAATGGCAGGGAGATGAAGGTACCTTAAAGGTAAATTTTTGCATGACTAACTTGTCCCTCTTGTGCTAATTATACGTGCTTTCACTTTTCTCCAACAGTCTCCAAGTTCATCTTCCCTCTGGCCTTTGATGTGTGTCTGTCAGCTAATATTTTTATACAGGTAATATTTTCGAGTTCCTGCCAGAAGAATTCCAGGGAAAACTTTCTCATCTTGCTTTCCGGGTCTCTCCTGCCTCTCTCCCTCCCTCTTCCTAATCTGCTCTTTGTTCTCATGGCGTCCTCTCCTATTTTCCCAGGCCGCCAGCCCCTTTGACTCCCCGTCAAGGCCAGGTGCTGGCCAGTCACCTCACCGAGGACCCCGGTGGTCCCCAGAACCCTTTGTCTTCCTGTCTTATGCCATGACTGCCCTGTGACCGCTGCTTCCAGGCTGTAGGGCACTGCTAGAAAAAATGATGAATCACTGCTGTCTCTTCAGCAGACTAATTAATAGACAGCAGTCCTTTGATTCTTCATCTCCTGTTGACTTCCCAACCCATTTCCTTCAGTAGCTCTTAGAATGCTTTTTACACAGTTTGTAAGTCCCAGTCTGCAGTCTCCACTCAATCTCTAAGGATGACATCACTACCTTATTTTATTGAGAAGATCTGGGTCAGGGGACACAATTCAAATGTCAACAGGGGCCATCGAAATTATTGAAATGAAAGGGGTGTTAGGCAGGGGCTGTTGTAGACTTGCAGGAGGCTGGCCTTGCCCAAGGAGGGGCAGCACTCATTGGAGTCCGGGGAAAGCTGGGCTCAGTATTGCCCCATCTTCTGTTTTCTCTAGAAAAATCAAATATCTGGTTTTCTAGTGAAATCTCTACCTGTTGAAGTCACATTTTTGGAAATACTGTGTGGGCTAGAACAAAACACATCTGGGAGCTAGTCATCTTGATTCTAGGGCTTCTCTTTCTTTTTTCACCTCACCGTATTTCTCTATATTCATTTGCCAGCATTTCTTTGTCTCCAGGGTCACTTCTTTTCCTTCCTGTCTCACATGTCCAGTTGTTTTCTCTCTACCTTTTATCTGCATAAAAACATTCAGGATGTCCCCCTTCCTAAGCACATAACTAATGACTCCTCCTTCTGTGCTACTCCCCGTGTCCCGTCTTTTCTTCGTTCTTTCATACTGAGTTTATAAACAGTGAAGGGGTCTACGTTCATTGCTCTTACTTCTTCACTCCTTTTAACACCTACAGTCGTTTGTCTTCACGACTTCTCTGAAGCTGTCTCATTCCCTGGACCCTATGATTGTACTAACCCGAATTTTCCTCTCTGAGCACTACTTTGCCGTCTGTTTTCACCAGCTCATCTTGCTACATCCTAACCATGTTATTTCTCCATCTTACTCACTTTTCCTTCTTAAATAGCCCCCATAACTACCCTTAATTATAAGTTATTTTTTCCTGGTTTTTCCTAGTATTTCATCTGCCCATCTCATGTGACAGCCTTATGTTAGATTACATTATAGGTCATTAATATGCTTCTCCTAATGGATCATGAAATTTTTTTTTCCCAGAAAGAGACTTTACCTTATTATTAAGTTTTTTTGGTTCCCTATACCATGTAGCCCAGTGGTAGGTATCGAATACATTTTTTAAATGATAACTTTCACATTATTAGTAATTAAAACCTAAGACCATAGGATACCTCTGATACCGCCACCACCAAGCCCAGCAGATTAGAACTTATGAAGGTTTTTTTGCCACATGCTAGGTTTGGCCCATGATAGTCAAAGAAAAAACTATGTCTCTCACTTGAATGCTTCTTCCACAGAAGATTAGCTCTGTGATTGTATTCCAGGACAGCTGACTCCACCTGCTGTTCGCAAAATATGGAAAGTATATTATTTGCATAGCAAGGATGGGTTTTCTTCAGAAGTACTGTTCTAGACAGAAATTGGTAAAAACTCAAGTGAATCAAAAGCCTTTAGGATAAAACCCCATTTAGAATAGTGATGGGGGACAGGGGTGAAGAAAAGAGGTAGTCCCTCAAAGTTAAGCTTTAGTTTGAGGAGGAGATTTTAACTTTTAATTACGGATAACAACTACTAAAAATGGATAATAATGAGGACTTTTGGGGCAGTGGGTGAGGGCTTATTGTTTGCTAAGCTCTCTATGTGAATTACATCACTTAATTCTCACACAGTAAGTGGGAATTATGGAATCTCCATTTTATAGATGAGGACCCTGAAGCACAGAGAAGTTAAGTCAGCTTGTTTAAGGCCACACGGTCAGCAAGTACTGGAGCTGGGATTCAGCCAAATCCCAGAGCCCATCCTACTAACCGCTCTGTACCAGAAAAGGGAGTTGAGGAGGGAAAGAAAGGATCAGTCTGGAACATCTGTTTCCTACCCCTGTTACTAGGA
The DNA here is from genome assembly GCF_000001405.40 of Homo sapiens. Classification (NCBI taxonomy): domain Eukaryota; kingdom Metazoa; phylum Chordata; class Mammalia; order Primates; family Hominidae; genus Homo; species Homo sapiens. The sequence goes on from NC_000012.12 coordinate 27,566,924, forward strand.
TCTAAATACTACTTTATAATAAGTCTGTTCCTGCCCCAAAGGCAATTTTGTGGCACCTTTGCACATTGTGCCTCAGTTTATCTTCCATATTACTCAGTGTTAGCAGAAGAGGAAAGCACACTGGTTTTGTTCTGTCTGTCTTTCTAATCTATATCAATAAAGGGCAGAATATCAATAAGGAAAAATTAACCTACGTGAATTTTAAAGGTGAACTGGAATGTATTAAATTGTACCTGCAAATACAATTCAGACCATGGGGTGCTCTACAGGCCCAATAACTCAGGTTCTTCAGTGAATAACTTGGAAGGAAAAAGAAAAAAGATGAAGAAGGAACCTGTAGATTGAAACACTGTTTAAAGATCTATCAACCAACCACAGTGGTGGGTCCTAATGAAACCCTAATTTAAACAAATGGTTTTTAGATACAACTTTTATAAAATAATTGGGAATGTGATCACTGACTAGAAATGGGGTGATGCTGGCATAGAAATTCCTCTCCCTAGCAATAGGAATTATTGCTAATTTGGGGGAATATGATAATAGTCTTACAATTACCTTTTAGACATATGTACTAAAATATTCATGGAACAAATGATAGGATTTCTTGGATTTGCTGCAAGATAATATGGGAGTGTGGGTGGTGGGAGGATAGATGGAACCAGATTGGCATGGGTGGTGATTATTGAAGCTGGTCATGGGTACTTGGCACTTCATTGTCTTAATCTACTTATGTTGGTACATCTTTGACATTTTCCATAATGAAAGTTTCAGGAAAAAAAATAAACTGGTAAATCCAACTTAAGCAATAAATTAATTTAAAACTTAAAATACTTAAGGTATTTTAAAGTCTGGAAAGGTTGTTTGGTCTCAGTGAAGTTTAATCCTGGCTCAGCATTCAGATCAAGTAGATATTGTCGGGACACTGATTGAAACCCAAGATAAGTTTATATCCCATATCATTAAGGAGACATTCTGGACTTAAAAAAGTTTAAGAGGTGGGGTATTGCTATGTTGCCCAGGCTGGCCTCAAACTCCTGGGCTCAAGCAATCCTCCTGCCTCAGCCTCCCAAGTAGATGGGATTGCAGGCTCTCACCACGGTGCCCAGCCACCAGACTTTTTAATTTTTAAGGGCAACGGGAAAAGAATAAAATTTGCCTTTAATCTAACTCATCTTTCCTCTTAAGAGACTACATGGCATGGACCCATAGTGGCCTCAAAAAGTTACAGCCCTTGATGGTGTTGTGAAGAAGAAGGGTCATGGGATCTCATAAGAAAGAGAAGTTGTCATTAATGCTGGTCAGGCAGTTAGGCAAATGTAGCCACAGTAATCTTAGAAGTTATTTTTTCATGTTTTCTGGTTCATTAGGGAGATTTTGCTTTTAATCTCAAAAAGTACTGCTGTATTCTTTTTTGTATTGGTTGACTATTTAAAAATCAAAGTTTGCAGGGGAGAGTGTTCTTAAGTGATATATTAAGCTTAGGATAGTGTGTTTAATTACTGCTTTCTGTAGAAGTTAAGAATGCCAGTGTTACATCTTTCTTCACCAAGCCCATCTCATTCAGCTTCCAACTGTGTAAGGATGAGGGATGGAAGTGGAGGGGCCTTGTTTTGCTTTGGAAGCAGATATGATGCCAGGATGTTCTCAATCACGGAGTGCTTGTGGGTGTAGTGGGTCACTTAACAGAGCCGGCTTCCCTAGCCAGCCTTCTCCTTCCAGCCTCTCCCAGACTTCTCCCGTCTTCTAGAAACTTCCTTCCTAAAATTATTTAATGGCTTTGCTTCCATGACCTGTGTTCTTTCCCAGTGAATTTATCAATAACCCATCTTGTTGCTGACCACTTTTAAACAGATGAAGTTCAACCATGAATGAACCCAGGGATTTTTACTAAACTTTCTGGACCTGTTTTTCCAACTACATTGTATATGTATTCACCAAGAGGTTCCATAGGCTTTTTGAACTCAAATGTGATAAAAATTTAATTATGCACCCCCTGCCACTTTATTTTATGTCTTCTGAATTCTCTGTTACCACAGAGAAAAAGGTCAGAAACCAGAGTCATAGAGTCATCAGTGATGTCTGCTTCTTCATGCCCCAACTGAATCCCCTAAATGCTTTTCTCAGTTTTACTCTTCCCTGCATTCTCACTGCTAGTTCATGGCCCTGAAACCATAATTGCATCCCCTGCCTCCAAATTCATCCTCTGGTGTGGTCTCCAGAATGATCTTTTTGAAATTCTAATTTGATGTTGATTTTTCTCCCGCTTTAAAGCCTTCTGCAGTGGGCTCTGAACCTTTTTCATCAGGGTACTGCTGTCATCAAACTTGTGAGCATCTCCTTCAGTATGTATATTTATTATAAATAATACACACATTATTGCACTGATATATTAAATACTGTAAACACACCTACAAAGTAGAAGTCTCGTATTATCTTTCATACAACACAAATAGTTGTATGGCTATACATAAATAGTTGGATGGCTGACTATGCCTTCTGGTCTGACTGCTGAGGCACTCTTTAATTCACCCCTCTGCTTTCCTGCCCACTGGCTCTCTGTCAAAAAGTCTCCCTTCCTCATTCTCACATGTTCCTACTCACCTCAATCATTCCTGTGCATATATCTACATTTTTTTGTTTGTTTGTTTTTGAGACGGAGTCTTGCCCTGTTGCCCAGGCTGGAGTGCAATGGTACAATCTCGGCTAACTGCAACCTCTGCCTCCCAGGGGGTTCAAGCAATTCTCCTGCCTCAGCCTCCCGAGTAACTGGGATTACAGGCACTGGCTACCATGCCCAGCTACTTTTTTGTATTTTTTAGTGGAGACAGGGTTTCACCATATTGGACAGGCTGGTCTCAAACTCCTGACCTCATGATCCACCTGCCTCGGCCTCCCAAAGTGCTGGGATTACCGGTGTGAGCCACCGCGTCCAGCCTACATTTTATACAGTTTCCAAGTTTAGATATTTTAGATCCTGTTCTCCATGGTCTTTAGCATTATAGCCTTGATAATTTCTTAATTTTATTGCTTTGACTTCCCCAAATTAATTAAACCATTTACCATCCCTCTAATAATGGATATTCAGATATTTCCAATTAGTTATTGTTATTTAGAGTTCTACAACATCGCCACCGGTGAGAGTTAGGATTTTTTGTGTGTTTTGGTATATGTAAAATGGTAACTCATGGCTGTTTAATATGCATTTTTGGTTACCATTGCAGATGAAATTTTCACCATATATTTATTTTCTTTCCCAATAAGACTAGGATTTCAATTTTTTTCTTAAAATATATACACTTAAATAAAGTTGTATTTTACATACTATATAGTAATCATTCCTTTATCGAATATGCAGTTCTGTTAGCTTCCCTAATAATAAAATAGCTGGATACTATTCTGCCTATTTGTTGGATGAGAAAACTTGAGGCTTAGCTAGGCTAAGTAACTTGACAGATCATATAGCTAAAAGTTGTGGACATGGGGTATTAAAAGTCAGGCTGATTGATTTCAAATTCTACCCTCTAAGTCATCTTGCTTGCTTCCTTTGACAAAAACAATACCTAATGTTTATAATAAAATTATAAAGTACAGATAAACAAAATGAAAAATTAAATCACATTTAATTAATCTGAAATCCTGCCACACAGTAACAACCACTGTCAACATGTTGTCATATGATAGCATACCTCAGAGGGAGACACAAGACCCACTGACTGGGGGTGGGAAGGGTTTTGAAAAAATGTACATAAGGCCAAGGTGGGCAGATCATGAGGTCCGGAGATCGAGACCATCCTGGCTAACACAGTGAAACCCTGTCTCTACGAAAAATACAAAAAAAAATTAGCCGGTTGTGGTGGCGGGCGCCTGTAGTCCCAGCTACTCGGGAGGCTGAGGCAGGAGAATGGCGTGAACCCGGGAGGCAGAGCTTGCAGTTAGCCGAGATGGCACCACTGCACTCTAGCCTGGGCGACAGTGAGACTCTGTCTCAAAGAAAAAAATAAAAATAAAAAAATAAAAAAATAAAATGTGCATATACCTCTCCTTTCATCTCCCCTCCCACATCTCTCTCTAATTAAAGATGTTACTGGTAGTAGACTGCTCTGGGATCTGTGATGAAGGGGAAGAAGAAAGTGTTGAAAACCATATTCTTCCTGACTTTTATGTGTGTGTATATTTATGAAAAAGCAGATCCTTTAGTATATTATGAGGGTCCTTCTGTGTCATGAATTATTGGTAACCACTCCTGTAACCTGGTTCTGCTTAATATTCTGATGGATGTACCTCAGTGTACAAACATTGGATTGTTTCCATTTTTTAATTATAAATATTATAACATTCTTGTGAAAGGAGTATATATTCATCGTTGCTCATTTTTCCAGGTTTTTCTTGTAAGTCTAATAAATGTAGAATGAAGGGCCAAAGGCTATTATATTTTTAGGGCTTTTGATGAGCATTGTCAATTGCCAATTTACCCACCGAAAAAGCATGTATCAATCTGGTCCGTGGTAAAATGAGAGGGAAAATGGGGGAGGAGATGAACCCACCAATCCATTTTTTTTTCCCTCAAACACACATGATGCAGAGAACATGGTTGTAATCTGACAATGAAAATGTGCCTATTCCATGTGGGGCATTTTATGGGAAAGAGTCTCTACTGTTCTTGCTGGGTCAGTAATGATAGAATTCATAATGAGCCAACCCACTTTTCAGACCTATGATGACCTCACTGGGGTGTGTTAGTTCCTGCAGTTCTACCGACATGATAAAGTGTTATATACCAGTGGGCTGAAGTCATTGTTTTTATTCAATCACTATACAAATTTCACATTAGTTCAGAATGGCCTTTCACAATGCTTGTGGGATCTCAGTGGTTTGACTTCATATTTTTTGAGTGATATTTGCAGTAACACATTGGTTAGTGATTTAGTGGAAATACTTGATTTTACAGGATTTCTTAGGTATGGGTGCCTGAATTTTGAGAGTGGCGCAGTCATTTCTCTCACATTTTCAAAAAGATAGAACATATTTCAGGACATTTATAGAATGCTTTTTTCCTCTGAGGACATGATGACTGACTGTAATCCGCAATCTCTGATTTCTACCCTGATGCTTCAAGAAATGTACAAATAATGAGAACATCTACTCTAAAGTTCTTGCCCCCAACTGAATTGAAACCCACTGTTTAAATATATTGTTATGTAATTTTTATGCTATAATTCATATTTTTATATAGTTTTAATACATTGTTATGTAAATTTTGCACTTCAGTCCATATTATTCTCATATAAAATAAAGTTTTAAAGTATTTGCCACAAAGAAAAATTGGTATATAATTGGTATACCAGGAAGCTGAACCATGTTCTTTCCTTCACTAGGCTGCCAGTACAGTCTCACACAGCATATTACTCTACATATGTTTACTTTTATATAAAACTTTATGGCAGACTTTAATCATTTCAGTCAATTCAGTCAAAATTTTCAAAGAATGACAACTTTTGAATTCCACAATTGCTCAGAATCTTTGAATTAGGATTTTACTGTGGAAAATAAAAATAATTTGGCAGTATTGGCAAAGAAAGCAAGCCATTACTAAACACTTCAAATATGATTGCAAAGCAACATGTTAATTTAAAAACATGTGGGCCTGTTTGATGTAATATGTCAATAGATATTGCAAATACTAAAATTTTGCAACCTCGAGGGAAATTGACTACAGTGACTTTTATTTTGGCATGGAAAATGGGTTCACTGAGGACTTTGGGACATGGGATTATCAGATTATTCATTGAGCTAGTATTTACAACACAGTGCTTAGTACTGTGGGAACACAGAAAAAACTGCACACTAAACCCTTTAAAGCATAAGGCATGAATCCCAAGCCCTCATCCATCCTTAGATTTGCAGATATACCATAACATGTAATTTCTTCATCTCTTTAATGTCTATTTATTTTATTGGCTAAGGGCTATCACTTTCTTGTACCACTTGATCTTCACTTTCATTGCTAGGACTGACCGCTGGCTTTTTTCTAACAATCCCACAAAGAAATAAGTTTGAAGTTTGCTCATAAGAGTTACTAGATAGTCAGAAAACAAAGCTTTCTTGGAATGCAGATGTTTATTGGTTGGCTGGGCTCCATGTAACTAACACAGCCCAAGCTTGTGATTTGAATTTGCTTCTCAGCTAAGTTAGCTCTACTTGTCAAGGACTCTTCATCTACAATTTGAAAATGCCAAGCATCTATTTGAAAGAATCTGTTATTTGAGAAACAATGTCTTATTGAGAAAGCAAAACAGACTTTTGGAATATTTAAACAGTGAACATTAATACATGATTAAATACCCGAATGAATGGGTGGTGGAAATAGTAACGGGTGTTGGCAATGAGAGAAAAGGAAGACTACATAGGGACATAATATGAAAAGGCTTCATGATTTGGGCAAGATCTAAGAAGCCAAAACCATATTTGAGCCACAAATATGGTTTTGAGTGTGTTGCTAGTATAGGTTTTGATGTTGGTAGTAGAGGAGAAAATAGGGTCTTTAACAAAGGGTACAGAATGAGTATGGCCTCAGAAACAGGAGTAGATATGATATACTGAAGAAAAAGCCGGCCATCCTGGAGGCATGAAGACCAAACATGGAAGGAGATGAGGTTGGAAAAGTTAGAAAGACAAGATGTGGAAGGTCTTTAAAGTCAAACTCAAGGATCTAGACTTTACTCTGCAGACATTGAAAACCAGTTGGAGACTAGCGTGATTAAAAAGAAGGTTAAAAGCCGGCGGGTGCAGTGGCCCATGCCTGTAATCCCAGCATTTTGGGAGGCTGAGATGGAAGTACTACTTGAAACCAGGAGTTAGAAACCAGCCTGGGTTACAAAGTGAGACCTCATCAGTACAAAAAAATAAAATAATAAACTAGTCAAGCTTGCACACCTGTATTCCTAGCTACTCAGGAGACTGAAGCAAGAGGATTGCTGGAGCCCAGGCTTTCGAGGCTGTAGTGAGTTGTGATTGTACCACTGCACTCCAGCTTGGATGACAAAGTGAGACCCTGTCTCTTAAAAAAAAAAAAAAAAGCCCAAAACAACAAAAAGATTAAGACCATCTCTGCACATGACTTGGTGATGAGTAATTTAGTGCTATGTTTTCTCTCGATTTATTTGGAATCATATAAACCTATCTTTCAGTACAGAAGGGCACTGAGTCACATTTAGGTGACATATTTCCTCCCAAAATCCCAGAGAACTTCAGGAAGTGGTGGGGGTGATTCAGCAAGGGGACATCTTCCTGACCATGTGATGGTTGTGGCTGGATAGAGCTCTTTTTGCCAGGCTATGAGAACAATCTTTCCGTAAAGTCTGTTGATGCTTACTCAACGTTTTCTCAGATGGAAACTTGGTGGGGGGTAAGACTAGATGGGAACAAACTTGGAAGATTTAGAGTCTCTCTGCTAAGTCTTCCTCCTGAAGCCTTTCTGAAGGGCCTGAACTTCCTGGAGAGGCCTTACTTACCAAGGAAAAGATAGATATTGGTCAGTTAGCTTGATTCTTTGATTACTTATGCTAAAAAATAAAGAATGATAAGCTTTTATATTCCCAGTACCCCAAGATTAGCTCTAATCTTAGATGGGTCTTAAAAGTCCATGGAAGTCCATGTATAGTCTTATTTTTGGTATCTTAACCTAAATTATGCAGAGGTATATTTTACTGGATTGACCTAACATAACTAACAGACCTTTTGAGATTTTATTTTGTATAATTTATAAAATGGAAAGTATTATCAACGTAGCATAAAGATTAAGAAATGAGCTCAGGAGCTGGACTGCCTGGGTTCTGGTCCTGATTTCTCCACTACTTAACCTTGGACAAGTTATTTAACCCCTCTGCCTTGATTATCTCATTTAGAAGGTGGAAATAATTTACTTCTTTCCTAGGATATTTGTCAGAATTAAATGAACAGATTTGTTGTTTATTTACTAAGAGCAAAGCTCTTAAAATATTCCCTGGTATATAAGTTCCCAACGAATATCACAATTAGTGTATCATAAATGAAAAAATTAAAGCAGTTAAAGGTTAAGTGACTTAGGTAATTATCCAGCAACATGACTATACCAGGATTAGCATTTCTTATTTTAAGACAGTCTACTGAAGTAGCAGGCTTTTTAGACCAGAGGTCAGCAAATCTTTTCTTAAAAGGCCAGATATAAACATTTTATACTTGTGGATCTTATGGTCTCTGTTGCTACTACTCAACTCTGTTATTGTGTCTTGGAAAAATCAACCACAGACAAAATGTAAATGTATGGGTGTGGCTGTGTTCCAATAAAATTTTATTTACAAAAACAGGTGGCAGACCCACATTTGGCCTTCTTACAGACCCTTGCTTTAGACACTTAAGTCATATCTGAAAGGAGACTATAGATTCCATTTCATTTTGAAGGCTGAGATATGGCATTATGTATTATGATAAACAGAAACTTTGATTTTTAATGATTGTTTAACATGTTAGTCTCATGATGGTCATACTTTAGGATAGCAAAGGGATTTAGAAAATAAGCAATAGTAACAAATGTGTTTTTTATCTCAAAGAGATCCATAGAAATCACTTATTTAACAGTTGGAGAATTATCTTGGAATTTGAGACCTGAGGTTGTGGGCAGGATGTTAAGAGTTTGTTTGATTAAATGGACCCAAATATAGACTGGTTTCTTTTTTGCTTCTCTATGTATGGGATAGGTTTGTGAGTCAAATAACAAGCTATTTGTATTTATGCTTGTCATTTCACTAAGGGTTTTTCTTCTAGAAATGCTGTTTGCATGGGTTTGGATTTTTTTATGGCTTACTTTTCAGTTCGATAATGTGTTCTTGTTTTCAAATTAAACTTGTCATTGAGATTTTTTGCGAGTGGCTATGTTGGTTAGTTAGTATTTATAGCTTAAGTCTGTTTCTGAGGAAATGACTAAAGTCTCTTCATTTGATCAAAACTGTAGAACAAAGAACATCTTTGACTTACTTAAACAAGTCCTATGATGAAAACTCAAAAAATATAATGGTTCATGTTTATAAATGTTTTTGTGTATTCAGTCCTGGTTAGGCCAAATAATCAGAGCTCTGTGCTGAGGGAGGGATTGAATATACTCAGTGCCTGTTAGTTAATGTGAATTTCTCTGGAGCACATTCAGGCAATACTTATTTTCTCATAATCCTCCTCCCATCTCTGCCCCATCCCCCACCGCTTTTTTTTTCATTTAACATATTGTTTTGAATTGGATTTTATAGAACATAGGTTTTTGTCTTCTTCTTCTTTTTAAACTATTCTACTAATTTTCTCCTTTCTTATTCCTAGCCAAGAGCCCTGATCCAGGTGAAGCGTGTAAACCTTGCACATGGAATTCCCAGCAAAGAGGCTGGTGGGGATCGGGACAGGGCCTGGGAAGTGACTGACTTGCAGAAACCCGCCATGTCTTGTTCTCTGCTGGAGACCTTTGCTTATCCATCTTGTGAACATCTGCAGCCTCCCCCTGCAGCCTAATCTTGCCCTCTTACTGTTGACTCAGTCCTCATGGAAGTGTAGGTGCCCTTCCTTCTGCTCATTACGTTCCAGAGCAGGAGATGAGGGGGCTAAGTAGGGAAGAAGAGAAGGCCCAGCTCCTGTCTGCTCAGACCCGGACTGACCTCTGCCCTGGGGCTCAGGCTGGGACTTGTATTTTACCATAAAGGCCCTATGACAGGTGGCGGTTGGATTTTGGTGTTAGATCAGCTGTGTTGTGGACTGACTGGGATTTTCTGCACTAGATTTTAATCTAATTATTCTTTGGTAACATTGATTGTTTCAGCTCTTTCATAAACAGCTCAAGGCACCACTTCTCCAACTAAATCTTGTGTCTAAGTCTGAAACAGATGAAAGTGAAATCGCTGTGCCCATGGCTGCACATCCACTCACTTCTGCCTCTGCTCTCTGAAGCATCTTAGGGTGGGAGTCCTAGGAGCTCACTTTGAAAACTGCTCATTAACATGACTGTTTACTTTCAGAGCGCACCCTAGTCTTAAAATTGAGCTTGCCTGTTTACATATAATAAGTTGCTTAAAATTTGCTGGGATTGGTGTGTATATATGGGCCATATATGAAGCCAGTGGTAGGAGAAAGAGGAATGGACAGATACTTACCTGATGTGATTTGATGGGGTGTTGAGAAATTCCACGATGAAAATCCACACCCCCATTCATTCCTGAAATGCCATAGCCAGTAATGCATTTTATTTCACTGTTAAGCACCTGCCTTTTCTGAAGCTTTTTTTTTTTTTAATAAAAAATGTCCTCATGAAGGATATCCATTAAGTTGTTGCAACCTTGGAGCTGATCCTTTTGCTTCCCTACTTGATTAAACATCTGGGGTTAATGAATCCTCACAAGGACAGATAGAAGGAAGGAAACAGCCACATCCATACGTCATAATTTTGTCTAGAACTGGCCCTGACTCTTTATGCATTTGTAAAACATGTATGGGAATATCTCTGGTATTTAACTTGGAGACACCTTGCTTTCTCCTTTGGATGCAGTTAGTTCTGAAGTATTTGAAGAGAGGGCATCTCAAAAGGAACGTTCACTGTTCTTAAATATTCTTTTAGTACCAAAATATATTTTATTACTGTATCATGGTGAGGATATATGTTCCTGTATATACTAGTGGGGATTTTCCCCTAAGTATGAGTTATTCAAGAGATAAGAGAATCAAAAATGCAAGTCTGAAAAATAGTGTATGTATTTCTACATATTTTATACAACTTGTTCCTGTTGGACAACAAAATAATAAATTGTGGACATTTCCCATTTTTTTTTACCTTAACGACAAAATATTGCAAAACCGTGGTTCATTCATTTACTCAACAAACATTCATAGAGTACCTACCATGTGCTACTACTACTTTGTGCTATAAAAATTAATGATGGTGGCTTCAGCAGAAAAATTAGTCATCAGGGAATATTTGAGGTTGTCCAGTAACTGAGGAAGGAAGGGAGAGAAGGGTGGAGTGCTGGACGGGGAAGAAGGAAGAAGGAGGATAGGAGAGAAAGGATGAATGGAAGGAAGTCCTTAACACGTTTTGTTGTTTTTAATTACACTCATGTTATCTAGTTTAATATTCTTTATATAATCAGCCATTTGCCACTTTTATTTTTTCTGATGTGCTATAATTTTAACTTGTCGTTTTTGTATTTGTTTCTTTTCAGTATAAAAGAACGTGTGGATCACTTTGCTGAGTACATCCAAGATTTGAAGAACTGAAATAAATCAGCTTTAAACCTGCTTTTTAAAAATGTAAGTGAACTCACTTCTGGCCATGGTTCATTTCAGACTCTCTAAAACCTGCAATTTCCTCTCAGTGTGTGTGAATTTTTTTCCAGGAGTAAAGTTACTTGACTCTAGTGAGTCTACTCATTAAGTCTAGGAGTGTTTGTATCTGCTCGCCCTTTTAAAACCTGTAAATTCTAAGAGTAGTATGAATAACATAGGTGGCTGTAGGATTTAGACGCGGTGTGGCAGGCAGTGAGCAAATCTTCATTTGGCACTGAGAAGGAAGACACAGACTTGGTAGAACATAAAATAAAAAGCACAGCCCTCTTCTCGAGTCCTTCATCACTCTTCACCTCACAGACCATTTCACTACCTTATCTACACCAGCGAGAATTGCTAGTTGACCCATTAATGACCCAGTAGGCTTAGAATATGAGGTATTGGTTTCTCACAGGCATATTTACCCACTTTCTCCCTATTTCTCTTGCTCAGTAATAATAACTACTATTTATTGAGCTTCTACCAAGTGACAGGCATTTGATTAATTCGATTCCATGTTCATTCTACAAATAGTGTTTCTGAATGCTTGCCGTGTACCAGGCATGGCCCTGACACTACTTATTACCTTATCTTCAAGGCACCCTTGCAGGGTAACAGTTAACACTTCAGTGATCTGGATGAGGATCCGAGAGAGGTAAGGAGCGTGCTGACAGTCACCTAGTCAGTGAGTGTGAACTGTCTGACTTTCTCTGATTTGCCATATCCTAAAGCGTGCTTAGATGCTTTTCCTGGCATGGATGTCAATAAGAGATTGGAACCTTCTGGATCATATTCATAATAGGACTGTGATTCTCACCCTTTAAAACCTTGGCTGGAGTCACAGAAAGAAAGGAAGTTAGAGAAACATCCTGTCACACAGCTTTGGTACCTGGGTGGGGAGCTAAGAGATCTGTTGTCCAGTTCCAGTCCTTTCAGGAATTTCCTCTGTGTCCATGAGCTATCTAAGGTCCATGGGAAACAGTTGATCTTATGCAAACCAAAGGGCACGGACCAGATGCTTTCAAGGGTCTGTCTCAGTCAGCTCTTTGCTGAAGGACCTTATGCGTAGAGGAAAGTGCACACATCATTAAGTGGATAGCTTGAGGGAATAAATGTCACAAAGTGAACACACCTCTTCAATCAGCACCTTGATGAGTAGAAAATTACCAGCACCTCAGAGCCTTCCTCCCCTCATGCTCCAGAAGCAACCGGTATCCTGCCTTGTGATGCCTTTGTTTAGTTTGTCTTTATGAATAGAATCATACAGTGAATATTCTTTTGTGTCTAGCTTGTTTTGCTTATTATGTTTGTGAAATCTACAATATTATGTACAATATTTTTTGCATTCTCTTTGCTCTAATGCTATTCAATTGTATACCTATTTTACAGTTGCTGGACATTTAGATGGTCTCTTGTTTGGGTGTATTACTAATAGCGCTTCTATGAATGTGTTGTGCATATCTTTTGGTGATGATTCTATTTTGTTTGTTCAGGTACTAAAGTCATTTTAATTCGTGGCACTTTGGAATGATGTTGAACTTTAGGTAGCCAAGTGATTTGTCTGCTTCAATGTGATGTTCCAAGCTGCTTACTCAACAGGAACAGATGAAGATGTTTTTGTAGATTACTCTTGTGGGGTGTGGCCAGGTGGAAGCCCTCTCTGATATGTGAGTGATGTGGTGGGGCTTATTGTCCTGGCAGAGAAGGGTTTTGATTGCATGGTACAGGAAGGGACTATGTAGGGGAAGAGGAAATAGATCCAGAAAAGAGATGTGTCTGGATTCCTATAGAAACTGTCAGGATATCTTACCAATCAGATCAAGAACCTGGAAAAGTAAGAGCCCCAGGGAAGACTCAGCTTGTGAGACCCGATGTGTCTAGGGAGACGAATAGAGAAAGAAAAATAGAGGCAGGCCTGAGCTCAGAAGGAGCTCTCAAAGAATTTTCTGAACAAATTCATTAAGCCTAACTTGTTTTAAGGAAGCTTTGAAAAACCAGTCCCTAAAAGTATGAATCTTGAGCCCAGAATGAACTTAAAAGTATAGAACTAGGAAAAAATGTATTTTCCCAAACAAATATGGGATGTGAGCATGTGGGCTTTGCCTTAAGACCTTTCTGCATTCAGATCACAATTCCACCACTTTGTCTCGTGACCTTTCTGGATCAGCTTCCACATCTGTAAAATGGGGATGGTAAAATCTCCGCCTCTAAGATTCCCCCCAAATCTGCTGTAACAATTGACTACAATAGTGTTAGTATTATGCTTCAGGGCACATAGACCTAGCACTAAAAATGATAGTCATTTTATTTCTCATTCTTGTTACTAAGATTACCCATTTGTATCTGATACTTTATGAGCGTTTTCAGTTCACTTTTTAAAAATATGAGACTTCGGTTTTTAATTTAAGTGTAGTGAATACTAACAAAAAAGATTTTTCTACTTGCCTCACCTTAGACTGAAACTCAGAGGAAGGATGCAAGGAAACATTTGTCCATGTGTCCTTGACATGTCCCTCCCCAGGGTGAGTCAGTGAAGACACTCTTGGTTGTCTGAACTGGTTTACTTGTTCAAAAAGAGACCAGTGGAGCTGAGATTTGTGGGAAACTAGGGTCATTTTGCACAAAGGAAATTTGTACTTTTATACATTATACTCTTTTTTTTTTTTTCTTTTAAGAGACAGGGTCTCGGTTTGTTGCCCAGGCTGGAGTACAGTGATGTGATCCTTGCTCACTGGGCTCAAGTGATCCTCCCACGTCAGTCTCCTGAGTAACTGGGACTACAGGCGTGTGCCATCATGCCCGGCTAGTTTTTAAATTTTTTGTGGAGACAGAGTCTTGTTTTATTGCCAAGGCTGGTCTTGAACTTCTGGCTTCAAGTGATCTTCTCACCTTGGCCTCCCACAGTGCTGAGATTATAAGCGTGAGCCACTGCTCCCAGCTGTACCTTCAGTCTTAGGTGTTCTGGCAGGTGGCACGTATATGAAATTTCGTTTGCCTAAGAGTGTAAGCAACACCCTAGTCTCTCCTCTGTGCCAGTGGTCCTTGAGTTCATGGATGATAGTGGTGAATGCTGTCTGGTTGTACCACTTTTGAGGCTGAATGGGCCCAGGTACAAGAATGAGGTGGGAGCCACTTGTCCAGCTTCATCTCTGTCTTCTCTGCATTAGGCCAAGGAAGGCTGTGGGACTGTATGGTTAGCTATTCACTCAGGCTTGCCTGTATCATCACTCCACCCTGTAGTGTAGTGGTTTGTAAGTAGGCAATTTGTAGCCACTGAGATAATGTCATCCCCAAAGAAAAGCATCTACTGTGGATTTGTCCTTTGCGCCCTTTTCTCTGTACCCTTTTTGCAGTCTTTGAAATCACTTTCATTATTATGTGGGGATTGGGGTTTTCTATCTCCTGACTGTCTTTTGTGAACTAAATCTTATTTTATGCAATTTGTACTAAAAATTATAAAAATACTGCTTGGGGATGGCAGTCTTATTTGGGATTGTGTCACATGTTGTTTGTTTTGTGCTTAATTGGTTCGTGATAACTGGACAATATATAAATGATCTTGGTTTCATCATGTAACTCACAAAATGTTTTCTTTTCCATTTTTTTTTCTTTAGTGCTTTCTCCTTTTCCTACCAAATATCTAGGCTCACTTTTACCATCAGATAGAGATTTAGTTGGGCTTTTAGAACTCTCTCTTCAAGCAGATGCTTTGCGTGTGTGTGTGTACGTATGTGTGTGTGTGTGTATGGAGTTTGTGGGCTGTTAGAAGCTATTTGCTCATCTTGTCAAAGCCATAGCAGTCTTTTCATTCTCAGTTGCTTTGCTTTCTCCTCACCTCTTAGGAAATTGGCAGCCAATGACTTTGATTTTTTTTTTCCTTTATGAGACAGATATGCTAGTGTGTAACTGTAGACAGAGGAAGAGTTTGCACATTTAGCAAATGATCAAATAAGTGGCGTGTGTATGTGTGTGTGCATACATGCTGTCTCTATAACTGAGCAAGTGTTGTTTTTTTCTCTGAAGTCTCCATGCATTTATACATTTAATTAGGAGGCTCAAGTATCTCTGATGACTTTTAAATATATAGCCTCAACAGTTTTTTAAGAAGAGGGGAGAGGGTCCAAGGCATTTTTTACACCTATTTAGTGGATGTGTGGTTTAATGTTATGGTATTTTGGGGAAACCTGGGTTCTGACTCCGTCGTTTCAGTGAGCCATGGTTTCCCATTGCTTCAGGAGTAGAGAAATGGGGGAAGGCATTTCAATAGTTCTTAAATCTATTATTTAGCAGTAGCTCAAGGCTGTATGCATGGTAATCAAAGAAATGAGATTGGGTTCCCTGGGTGTGGTCTGCATTCCTTCTGTACTGTAGCGCTGTTCTAGTCTCCTGGTCAAATCACAGCCCAGAGCTGCTTCAGCCAAGAGGAGACTTAAATTAGGGATGTGCAATTTACAGCCATTGTAGCAGGATCCACTTAGTCCCTAGGCAGAAGATAACATGTGCGATCACTGTAGAAATTATAGCAGCTTTCCGATTGAAATAGCCCTGAGAGTTTCTTGTGACTATTACCTTGAGCTGAGGTGTAATCCCTTACCAGTGGTGTAATCCTAACTACAATACAACAGTTAATTGTCTTCTGTGTTCTTATTTGTGGTTCAGAACACAAATTGTTATTTTTCCATCAGCTTTTCTTGCTTGTTGTTTGTTTTTTACCTAATTCCTTTCCTGTTGTAGTAGTTGTTATATGCTTGGCTTGACATAGTTAGGCTATTTGGTACTGTGATATTAAGATATTTTTGAGGAAAAGGTCATCAGCTGTCTTTCTGGGCTATTCTGGGCATTTTGTACTCTATTTTGGATGTAACTTTTCTTGCTCTTGATTTCTGATTAGCTGTTCTTCCTCCTTGCTTTGGCCTCTCAACTTGCTTGGAAGCTTTTCAACAAATCTGCACTTGGATGACGGCTTTGTTCAACAAATAAACATTATCTCAACCTTGGGGAAGAGTTAAGAAGACACAGGATGGAACACTGTTAGATGCTTCTGGTTCTAAGCATGGAATTCCTGGAACAGGGAAGCTAGCTTCCAATACATTGAAGTCCGGAAGTTGTTTTCCTGCTCAAGGAGGTCACATTTCTACCAAGAGAAATGTGAATTCTAAGGCATTTTCAAAAGTTTTGGATGATTTGGTGAGATTTAAATTGTCTTATTTTTGATAAATTTTTAGAAATTAAAGAATGCATTATTTGCTTAGAAGAGTGGGATTTTTGGTTCTTCATGGTCTATATTGGTCCTTCCTGAGGTCGCACAGAGGCCTTTGAACAAGATTGGGCCTGCTGTGTGGTTGGGATAGTTGAAAGCCAAGTATCAAGCAGGAAATAAGAGTAGCAGACCTTAAAGTATTAGACTTCTCATAAGGGAAAACAGCAACACCCAAGAAAAATCCATTTACATTTACCCACAGTCCTTCTGGCCTGTGGACCTCTTTTCTCCTCTTGTTAGCCAGCAGAACAGCAATCTCTTCTTTGCAAGACTGTGAGTAATTCAAGGGGGACAGAAAAGGACAGAAAACACCAAGTACCTCTATCCAGAGGGTGACTTTTGTTTCCTCACTTTGTGGCCCCACTGAATTCACAGAAGGTAAAGCTGAAAGAACTCAGGGTATATGGCTGGTTTTTTGCACTCTTTACTTGATAAAATCAGTTGATTCTTCTTTTTTTGTGGTAGTTGTGCTCTGAAGTGATTGTGAACACTGAATGACCAAATACTTTTCCTAGGGGAAATGCAGAGGGAGGGTCCTGCGAGCCTTTGACCACAGTGTTTTTGCCAACTGATCAATACACAACCTTGTTTTATGTGTGTTTCTGTTTAGATACCACTTTCACATATGTTGTTGAATCATTAACACTGACACACACCCAACAGCTTTGTAACTCAGGCCTGAAGGAAGCTGACCTCACACACTGGTTTCGTCCTTGAGGCACGGCCTCATTACCTCAGGAACACCAGGCAGCGCTTCCACACTGTGCTTGGAGCCATTTTAAACAGCACAAGGGTTGATCGACAAGTACAAACGTGTGAAAAATGTGGCACAGAATAGACCATGAAAAGGACACTTTATGGCAGGAGGGCTGAACTGATGCAGGAAAGTGGAGCATCGTCTTGTTCAGCCTGCGCTGGGAACTCCGCCATGGTGACCGAGAATTCTCGCTCCTTTGCATGTGTCTGTGAATGAGTGTGAAGGTACTAATGTGGGGGTTGCAAGCAAATTTTAGCAGGTGGGCCAATTCACATGTGTCAACTGTATAATAGAAGCAAAATAATCCCAATTATTGTGGCCGGAAACTTTCCCAGTCCCACTGTGTGGTTCATGTAGAAAACCAATAATTTAAGGTAAAAATGAACTGTAAGCTGGTATAGCCAGACCAATGTTTTTAAATAGGCTCTTGTGAGATGAAGACAGGCAAGGAAAATGTGCCCAAGAAATTATCATTTGTTGTTGAACAAACGATAATTAGCCCTGCTGCCAGGCTTTGAACATTTAGAGAATGGGAACAACATCACGTATCCCCATGTCCTTGGCATGAAAGGTAGTAATGGCCAGCACCTAGGGGCACCTCAGCAAGTGAATGAATCCTAAATAAATGAATGAAAGAGCAGGGGGAATTCTTAGTGATGCCTGATGGCCCACTGTAGGGCATCTTAGGAATCTCATGCATCATTTTAGCCTAGATATATCATTTCCTGCCCACTGTGTTCCTTAAATTAACTTGCATAAATGTGTATCAATGAGCAGAAACAGTAGTGTCTGACTGTGAAAGGTAATCATGTGACACAGAGGTTATGTATCATGCTCATTTTCGTGCACAGCCCCTGGCACGTTAATGTTCATTAAATGAATTTGAATGAATGAATGAATTTAAACATCTAGAATATTTAGAAATGCAATGGCTTTAAAAAAATCTTTTTAAATTTAAAACAGAGGTGACTTTGTAAGTCACTTTGTACTATAAGTCTGTAGTCAGAGAAGTAGAAAGATGTGGATATTCTTTTGTTAACCAGCTTTGTCTATTGTATAAAACTGAGCTTTTCCACTCAGGAAACATCTACGCTGCGCTGTGTCTCCCTGCACCCCCCTCATATAAATATCCAGGGATGAGAGTTAATTAAAGTAGAAGCTAGTTAGGTTTTCTGAAAGGAAATGACATTCACTTTCAGATGTTATCCGTTTAAATTATTTCCTGCAGATTAACTGTTCATTTTACGAATTATTTATCATGGAGCTACTGTGTACAAGAAACTGGGCCAGGGGCTTTGGAGCATGCAAAGATAAGCAGAACATAGGGTCTTTTGTCTAGTGGGAGGGAAAGACATAAGTGCACATTTTTGTAAGTCTGGATAAAATGTACACTAACTACGGGTAAAAGTGAAGTGCTGTGGTGGCACAAGGCAGAGTGAGGTTAATTCCAACCTGCTCTGTTCTACGGAGGAGCTTCAATATAACCTGGGTCTTGAATGCCCATTTGGGAGTGGGTGGGCAGCAGGGTAGACTGGAGAAGTAGCACATTAGGCCAGTTCCAAGAAGAGGTAGCAAAAGCATTGGAGCACGAAGGTACAAGGAACAAGTAACATAAAGGTTCTGGAGTGTGAGGGGCAGTGGGGGAGTATTGTGAAATAAGACTAGAAAATTGCCTCAGGATCCGATTATAGAGAGATTCAATGGTAGTTTGCTTGGACTTTATTCTGTAGTCATTAGGAACAATAGCAGATTTTAAAATAGAGGAATTGTGTGTCAGCAACTAGCAGCAGCTAAAATTTGTAAGCACTTGTTATGTGCCAGGTACGAATTCTTACCACAGCCCTTTGAGGCTAATACTGTTAGTGTTGCAGTTTGTAGATGAGGAAACAGCACAGAGAAGTTAAGTAACTTCCCCAGGATCCACAGCAAATAAGTGGTGGACTGGGAATTGAAGCCAGGAAGTCAAACTTAAGAACCTGGGTTTTTAACCTGGGATGGAAGAATAGGATTCGGAGAGTCTTTGAACTTTTTAAATTATTTGCCAAGTGGTCAGTATATATGAATATGTGCATTAGTTTAAGAGAGGATCTATGGCTTTAATCATGTAAGAGATGCATGCTTAAAAATGTTAATAAAGACTATATAGGGCAGGCATGGCAGCTCAGGCTTGTAATCCCAGCCCTTGGGAGGCCAAGGTGGGCAGATCACTTGAGGCCAGGAATTCACAACCAATCTGGCCAACATGGTGAAACCCTGTCTCTGCTAAAAATATTAGAGTTAGCCTGTGTGGTTGTGTACGCCTATAGTCCCAGCTACTTGGGACACTGAGGCATGAGAATCACTTGAACCCAGGAGGCAGAGGTTGCAGTGAGCAGAGATCATGCCACTGCACCCCAGCCTGGGCGAAAAAGTGAGACTCTGTCTCAAGAAAAAAAAAAGCCTATAAGAGCACCCTCTTTCACCCTCAGAAGTCCCCCAGAATGCACAATGCATTATATAGTGACTATGCCTGTTCTTCTTGTTAGGTAGGAAGAAGCAGAACAATCTGTCATGGCTCAAAATAAAAGAAAATGTCCAATTTGAAGAAATTCTTAGTATTGTAAGTGTCAGGCTGTTCTTGATTTGTGAGAAACAAAAAATTTAAAAGATGGTATTTTGAAGGTAGAAATCAGATATTCAGGCTTTGAAACTTGCAAAAATTTCAAACGGCAGAGGACCTATCTCCGCATTCGGCAAAAATTATTCTTTTTAATCTCAACAAAAGCTAGATAAACTCCTGAAATCTTACGTGTTCTGTAAAAATACCTAGATGCTAGTCTGCTTTCAACTGAACCAATTTGCCTTTTTACAGTTAGGACTTGAAGGATGAATATTTACCAATCTATGAGACTGAAAATTCTTTGCAGCCAGCTGTGAACCCAAAGGCAGGTGCGAGAATGAATGAAGGAGTCCAGATTAAAGAATTGTCCAGTTTACATCACTTGAGAAGTCAAATTAATATCTAAGTTTTATTTAGAGTAAATGTTTTAATGTTTTAAATATATATAATCTCATAAGATATTACTGTTGGCCAGGCGCAGTGGCTCACGTCTGTAATCCCAGCACTTTGGGAGGCCGAGGCGGGCGGATCACGGAGGTCAGGAGATCGAGACCATCCTGGCTAACATGGTGAAACCCCGTCTCTACTAAAAATACAAAAAAATTAGCTGGGCGTGGTGGCGGGCGCCTGTAGTCCCAGCTACTCGGGAGGCTGAGGCAGGAGAATGGCTTGAACCCGGGAGGCGGAGCTTGCAGTGAGCCAAGATCGCACCACTGCACCCCAGCCTCGGGGACAGAGCAAGACTCCATCTCAAAAAAAAAAAAAAAAAAAAAGATATTACTGTCATACAAGTGTAACAGATTTAATACTTTAATAGAGATCTATACTACTTATTTACTAGAGCTTTTCTTTATATTTTCCCCATCTTTGTTTTCTCTCTGTCTTTTTTTTCCTGGACTACTTGAAAGTAAGTTGCAGATATCATGACACTTCTACCCTTAAATATTTCAGCCTAAATTTCCTAAGAACCTAGTCCACATTCAAAACCAAAATATCCTTTACTATAGTTTTTGTTTTGCTTTTGGTTTTGATCAAAGATTCCATCAAAAATCACAAATAGCAATTGGTTGTCATGTTTCTTTCATCTCTTTTATGAACTCTCTTGTCTCCCTGTCTTTTTTGTGTTTCCTTATTTTGTGTTTCATGATGTTAACATGTTTTAAAAGTCAAAGACAGTTGTGTGGTAAAATATCGTATAGTCTAGATTCATCTAACTGTTGGTGTCCTCATAATTAGATTCAAATTAAACATTGCTAGCAAGTGTACATTGCTTCTCTTCAGAAGGTGCATGATATTAGCTAGGCTGAGTTTAATCACTTGGCTAAGTTGGTGTTGACCAGACCTTTCCATTGTAAAGGTGCCTAATCCTCTTGATAACTAAGAATGCACCTGTGGGGTAATCTTAGAGAGCATGTGCATGTTTTTTTCCCTGACAGTGATTCACCCAATGGTTTTAGCATCTATTTTATGATTCATCTATTATGAATCAATTATTAAGTTGCTGGTTGCAATATGGTACTAACTTGATCTCTAAAGTCATTTTACTGAAGAAAAATTCTCCTTTCCATCCCATGTCCTGCTTGGGGAAAATCTTGGCCCAAAAGACGCATGACAGAAGGATCGATGAAAGTGAAACTTGAAAACAACTATCCAAACACACATTAACTATGAAGATGTTTGAAGGGTTTTCTTTTCCTTTCTGAGTGGGTATGCAGGAAACCTGTACCCTAGGGTGAGAGCTCTTTATTTTAAAGATTTGTACTTAAAATAATCTTTATTGCTGCAGGTGAGGAAAAACTAAATAAATTGCTATTTATTTTCTTTTGGACTGAGAGAATTCAGTAGCAATGAGATGAATTTTCTTTCAGTGCCACAATCTGAAAAGCTGTGATGTTTACCATACCATTTGAAAATGTCTTAGAAGTAGTTCCTTATAAAGCATATTATATTGAAATCAAATGGGCATTAAAGCCATGGAATTCCTTTGAAAGGTGGAATAAAGCGGAAATTGTTTTGTCTTGGTACTTCTTGATCTAGACTAATAATCCTTTGGGGGAATTTATCCTGAGGCTTTTTACCAATTGTGCTCATGACTGGCTCCCTCAGTGAATGTTATCTGATGAAGGTCTTATTTCACTTCTGAAAGCACAGCGTTGTTCTATTTGTTTGAGGTATTAGTAGGTAGCAGGAAAAGATCGACTCCAGGTAATGCAATATAAAACCCACCCGTCCATCTTGAAATTGGAGGTTGTCCTGCATGCTATATAAGTTCTCCCACTTGCAATATATAATGAGGAGACATATTTTTGAAGCAATTAACTGTTCCTTCAAAATTGTTCTTTATTGTTGGTGTAAGGACTTTAGCACTCTCTAGGAAATCGTCTATAACTTGCTTCATTTTTCTTTTGTTTTGTAAGAGGATTTTAGACTCTATTCTTGTGGCCAGTTAGACTTGGATCCGTGCATCCTCTTGAGCCGTGAATTTTCTGGTCTCAAAGTCCCAGGCTCAAGCGATCCTTGCGCCTCGGCCTTCCAAAGTGCTGAGGTTATAGGCATGAGCCACGGCACCTGGCCCATAATGTATTTGACACTATAATTAAGAGATACTGAGATATTTCCTATTTTAAAATACTTCGTCCTGCTTTCTAATATATAGCATGACACCCAACCTCAGAGGGTATGGAAAGCTTACTTTACTGTAAAGACTTGCAAAGCACACTGCTTATATTTTAGGGACAGGTTCATACCTGCCAAGCAGGTTTATGAAACACTGATGAATAAACACAAGTATGTCAGAAATCTTACTAAAGAACAGTGCATCTTATTCAGTGTAGACAGTCTTCTAAAGTATTTTGGTTGAGTTCGTCCTAGAGCTTAATTGCGAGAGTAAGAATTAAAATAATAAAACTGGTTGCAAGTCTTTTGAGAGTAAGATATGTCATCTTTCTTTCAGGCCTATCATAGTGTCTAGTCTAAAGCAACAGTAAGGCTCCTTGCATATTTGTTGAATTAAATTTTCAATTTAGTTTCTGAATTCCTTGGTCCTAATAGATTTCTCAGTTGATAGGTTGCCATCTCACTTGACGTCTACTTGATGGCTATGTTCTCTTCTTGTCTGCCTCCCTTTTCACTCCTGTTCTTGACCCTACTGACCAGTCTTTTTTGACTTAAAGAATAGCAACTCTTTAAGCTGTTGTATTTCACTTTTTTAAAATTATATAGACAGGATACATTAAAAACATTTAAAGAATTACATAGAGTCAGAGAGATAGATTACTTTCTACTAAATGCTGTGTTAGGATTTTGTTTTTTTTGTTTTTTTTGAGATGGAGTCTCGCCCCATTGCCCGGGCTGGAGTGCAGTGGTGCCATCTCTTCTCACTGCACCCTCTGCCTCCTGGGTCCAAATGATCCTCCGGCCTCAGCCTCCCGAGTAGCTGGGATTACAGGCCCCTGCCACCATACCTGGCTAATTTTTGTATTTTTAGTACAGACAGGGTTTTACCATGTTGCCCAGGCTGGTCTCAAACTCCTGACCTCAAGTGATCTACCCACCTCGGCCTCCCAAAGTGCTGAGATTACAGGCGTGAGCCACTGCGCGCAGCCCACTGTGTTAGGATTTGCAATATAAAGGAACTAAGACCTGGTGGTTGCCTTTAGATCTCACAGTCTACAGGTAAAATGGATCTATAAAGAGGGCTGAAAAGTACAAATCATGGCAAGAAGGTGGCAGAGCAGGGACTAGGGGACAGCTAAAGGAGGGTCATGATCCCTTTGCCTGAGGGATCAATATTGCCCAGTAGTAACCCTAGAGCAGGTTCTTTAAGGATGAGTTTCCCAGGCAGTCAGGAAATGGGGAGGGAAATCCCTATGGTTTTGTGTATTGGCCCCAGTGAGAAGCAAGTGTGTCCCCTTCGGGAACTTGATGAGTATAGATTTTAAAAAATATCTGGGAGAAGAGAAAGGCAAGGCATGGCAGATGTTACTAGATGTGGTAGACATGCCAAGTTTGGGTAGGAGGTATATGGGTTAGATCTAGAGGGAAGCAGTTAGAAGTTGGGGAACAGGAAGCCTTTTACAACCAACCTCCCCTTGCTGAATGGATTATTACTTCATTAGAACTCAATGTTTACCCACTACAGAATATTATCACTCATAGTCTTTATAGTCATATATTTGCCTGATTTTATCTCTTAAATAAGGCAATTGAGCCTAAAGATCAAGACTTTTTTTTTTTTGACAAGCTAGAAAGGTATCTGACACTCCTATTTGCTAAATATTTGTAGAAGGAAGAAAGAAGAGAGGAAGGAGAGGGATAAGGGAATTGAAATTGAGGAAAGGAAGGAATTTGAAACTGAAGAGTCATATGCTTTGCCACATAAACTCTGAAGGTCACACAGGATGGTAGTGCCAGCAGAAGAAGGAGGACGTTGAGTGAACCTGTGATTGAATGAGGAGGATGGTAGAGATGCTGGGAAGGTGAGAGTCAGGACAAGAAGGCTGAGGGCACCTTCCTCAAAGAAGTTGACATTCAGTGGAACGTTCAATGACAATTGCAAAGGAGTTTCAGAGGGCAGAATGGAATGGATTGGGAGAGGACTTGGTTAAGATTTACTGAAAACCCTGAACTTTTGGTAAATACTGCTCTGTGTGGGAAATGTTTCAATGAGAATTGACTCTTAATTAACTCTCACTCTTGGATATCCCTTGAACAAGTTGTCTGGAGAGTTCCTCAGGAGAATGTCTACTTGCAACAACAGTAATAATATTTATCAAGTGCTTGTGTTACCTCATAAACTCTCACACTAACCCTGTGAGGTATGTATTATTATCTTCCACTTCTTTTGAATGAAGACAGCTAGACTTAGAGTGGTTAAGAAGTGTTCACAGTCGTCACATTGCTCCTAAGTGGGCCACTACTACAGCCAAGGCAACACATGCTAGAACCTGTCAGGTACCTGGGGAATATCAGAACTGCTGTCTGATCTCTGAAATTGAAATTAATTTCCTCAGTGACTCAATACCTACTGCCACTCACTCAAGCCCTGCAAGTTCAAGCCAAATCATCCTGCCACCGCAGGAATGTGATGGGTCACGCTGCTACCTACTGAAAATGGGGATTTGGGTTAACTAGAGTAAAATACAGTAAGAATGGGTGAGAGGAGAGAAAAAGAATACTTCAGTTTAGGAAGCATAATACTACTTAAAATTTCCTGAGAAAGAATTTCTTCCCTTGGAAGTGCATCTTCCCAGGAGGTTGTGTCCTCACAGGGGGTGTCCTCACACGGGAAATAGCCCGCAGAGAGGCTCAGGTTGGAATTGGATTTGGAGCTGTCGTCCTTTCTGTCACTGTTAGAGGATGAATATGCAATGGAGTTCAAAGGCACAAATCTGTCAACTTGAGAAGCTTCAAAAAAGAACAGCACATATGCTTTCAATGTGAGTCAAGATGGTGTGCTGGAAGAGGAAGACATGGGTAACAAGAACGTTTATTTTGTTTATTGAGGAAAAAATAAACTATTGGGGATTATCAGTGGAATCCTATCTTATGGATTATTTTCAACTTTCCAAAAAGTTGAAAAATCTGTCTATATAGGATGTCCTAATTCAAGGGTTTCTTGAGGTTGAATTCTCTTGCCTCTGTGAAAGAATCGTTTCCTTGGTGCTGGCTGACGGGGACTCTTGGTGGCTTTCACAGGATGATACCTCCTCAGCAGAGGGGAGAGGATATGCTGCCTCAGCCAGCTGAAGGCCCACCCAAAGTTCAGGCAGCACTGGGCCTGTGTGTGGGAAGGAGTGTCATCCTTCTCCGGCTGCTCTGACAGGATTGAGATCTCTGGAGCACTTGTCCTTTGGCTGGCAGTTGCCTGGCTTATCATCTGCCAAGAAAATAAAGAATATGTTAGGTAGGCGTAACCATGACAGCAGCCAAGTCAACATTTACTCATTTATGGAACTCACATCCTTTTAGCAAAAATAGCCCAAGTAGGCTGGGTGCGATGGCTCACACCTGTAGTATCAGCACTTTGGGAGGCCGAGGCATGTGGATCACTTGAGGTCAGGAGGTCGAGACAAGCCTGGCCAACATGGTGAAACACTGTCTCTACTAAAAATACAAAAGTTAGGGTAGCAGACGCCTATAATCCCAGCTACTCAGGAGGTTGAGGCAGGAGAATCACTTGAGCACGGGAAGTAGAGGTTGCAGTGAGCCGAGATCACACCACTGCACTCCAGCCTGGGCAACGGAGAAAGAATGTCTCAAAAAAAAAAAAAAAAAAAAAGCCCAAGTGTCAATGCAAAGCTTCAATGTAGATACAGTTTTTAGTCCTTCTCCTTGCTTGCTACCCTCTTGTTTACCTCAGCATTCCTCAGTCTTTTCCCTAAAACTCCACCCTGACTCCTTTCTTCGTTGTCTGTCTCCCACTGGTATCACTTCGGGCCCCTTGGGACCTGCTTCCTAGTGGTCGTAAGATTCTGTGGTTCAACCCAGGCCTATCCCTTCCTATCCTATGAGGCATCTCTGTGCTCACCTCAGCCAGCTCATGTTCCTTAAGCCTTAGAGGAGTCTGTGGAGACTACATAACATCTTTATTTTCTGGTGGCTTGCACTTGGGCAGGTCTTGACAAGCATCATGTTCTTGATGACTGACCTGAACCATTTCTGGAGGGGAGCTGCCGTACAGCTGGAAATCTGAGTAGTTTCAGGAAACACAGCATCATCATCTTCATTGTCTTTCAGATTTTCTAGAAATGTCTGAAACTCTTGCACAAGATTATTCAGTTTGCTGACAGATAGTTTTGTCCTCTCTTTTGGGAACTTGTTTATCCACAGGTTGGCTCCATTTAGAAGCCTATTAGCTATTGAGTCTGTGTTGTCAGAGCCAACGTCCATGTCCCAGGCCAGGAAGATGTTCAGTTTGCAAAACTGTCTGGTTCGTCCTGAATTTGGTATTGTCTCTTCATGTGTTTCCTTATCCTTTCAGTCCCCCATGCCCCTTGGATGGGAGGGAGAAAGTGGATGGAAGGACCCTTGGAAGGTGCGTCTTCCCAGGAGGTTGTGTCCTCACAGGGGGTGTCCTCACAGGGGAAATAGCCCACAGAGAGGATCAGGTTGGAATTGGATTTGGAGCTGTCGTCCTCTATGTCGCTGTTAGAGGATGAATATGCCATGGAGTTCAAAGGCACAAATCTCTCTCAACTTGAGAAGCTTCAAAAAAAGAAAAGAAGAAAAAAGAAAAAGTAGGTGGGACCGGGGAGAAGAGAATCATGGTACTTAAGCAAAAACATTATCCATCCCCTTTTCTATTTTTTTTTTTTTTTTTTTTTGAGATGGAGTCTCACTCTGTCATCCAGGCTGGAGTGCAGTGGTGTGATCTCGGCTCACTGCAACCTCCACCTCCTGGGTTCAAGTGATTCTTCTGCCTCAGCCTCCCAAATAGCTGGGATTATAGGCACCCGCCACAATGCCCAGCTAATTTTTGTATTTTTAGTGGAGATGGGGTTTCACCATGTTGCCCAGGCTGGTTTTGAACTCCTCACCTCAGGTGATCCACCCACCTTGGCCTCCCAAAATGCTGGGATTACAGGAATGAGCCACCACGCCCAGCCCCATTCCCTTTTCTATTCAGAACTACCCCATTTAGATTGAAGTCTTATCCTATTTTTATAATCTCCCAGTGAAGGGCAGAAGAGGCAGCCCTCTGCCTTTCAAAACTTACTTCATTGTGTTATAATCCTCTCTACTAAGCATCTCCACCTCTCATCATTTGTCCTATTACAGTTTTAAGATCTTGTATCATAAAAGAAAAAGATCATTATATAAAATTGGAAAAATGTAGAAAAGTATGAAGACAAAAACAAACATGCCATGGTCCTACCTTCTAAAGGTAATAACTATCAAAACATTTTGATGGACTTCCTTATCTTTTCTATTTATATAAACACACACATATATATCTGTACATTTATATAATATATCCACATATCCATATATGTGAATGTGGCTATCACATCAGTTGAAACAGATTATTTTATGGCATAGCCTACAACAAACATATATATGGTTACTCTGCAATTGTTAATTCTTATTAATGACCATTAGGTGGTAGTTATTGTTTTACTAAATAAATCTGTAGTAAACCTGCTTTTCCATAAATCTTTGACTATGACCCTTATTTTTCTATGTGTAGGATTAATGGACCAAACATCACAAATATATTACAGTCTTCTGCTGGTTGATACCAAATTACTTTCCAGGAAGGTTTTGCTGTTTAGATGCCCATCCTCCCATCATCTGATGACACTTTTTAGTCCAGCTTTTTCTGTGAAGCCCCGGAAAGCAAGTAGGGCTGGAAGAATGCGTGCACACGCGCGCGCGCACAAACACACACACGCGCATACACACATGCGTGTGCTCACACACACACATGCACGCAAGACTGTCACACCCTGCTCTGGTGGCTGCCCACATGGAAGAAGTGCTGCTAACTCCTGAGGCAAGAAGGGGAGACGTGAGAAATCCTTCACATCCCGAGTCTCAGTGGCTAAAAGTCCAGCTGTCAGAAGTCTGTGTTCTGAGACTGTTGGTTACCATGGCAACAGAAAGACCTGAATTAGAGCCAGGAATGTGGAGAGAGAAAAGGAAAAACGGGGATAGAAAGCCACAGAATTATCCCTTTTGCTTCCAAAATATTCTGTGCCCTAGGCCGGGCGCAGTGGCTCACGCTTATAATCCCAGCACTTTGGGAGGCTGAGGTGGGCGGATCACCTGAGGTCCGGAGTTTGAGACCAGCCTGACCAACATGGAGAAACCCCATCTCTACTAAAAATACAAAATTAGCCGGGTGTGGTGGCCCATGCCTGTAATCCCAGCTACTCAGGAGGCTGAGGCAGGAGAATCACTTGAACCCAGGAGGCAGAGGTTGCGGTGAGCGGAGATAGCGCCATTGCACTCCAGCCTGGGCAACAACAGCGACACTCTGATCAACAACAACAACAACAACAACAACAACAACAAAATATATATATATATATATATATATATATATATATATTTTATGCCCATACCATCCCGGATTGAAGAGGATTCCTCTTGAGGGTAGAAGGACGAATGCATGGAGGTTACTTCTCTCTTGTCAGGTGGCTAAGATGGTTCCCGTCCTTAGGAGATTTAGAGCTCTAAATAAGGGGCATGGGTATAAATACACACACACACACACACACACACACACACACACACATATGCTTACAAATGGCAAAAAGCCAAGAAACACTTATCTGACCTAAAAGAACCTCAACGCATTGGAATCTATCAATTTCTAAAGATCTTTTCCAAATATTTGTCTCCATTTCTGCTTAACAAGATTACAGTTAAAGTTTGCCATGACTCAGTCTCACTTTTTTCACTGTAGAACTGGCTTAAATTCGTTTGTTCTGTTAAATAAGATGTTTAAGGAATTCTGATGACATGATAGAAGAAATAGGCAGAGTTATAGTTAGAAAGAAGCAGATTCTACTACCCAATAGATGCAGCCTGGCAGGTACCCACAGACTGCCCACAACTTCCCTGAGTGATTGTGGACCTGGATTAATCCTGGAGGCTGTTTAAGTCAGAAGTAACATGTTCCCCAGCATTTATTTTATTTTGTTTTATTATTATTTTTTATTTTTAGAGACAGGGTCTCACTCTGTTGCCCAGGCTGGAGTACAATGATGCCATCATAACTCACTGCAGCCTCAAACTCCTGGCCTCAAGCAAACTTCCTCAGCCTCCCAGGTAGCTAAGACTACAGGTGTATATCACCATGCCTGGCTAGTTTTCCCTAGCACTTATTTAACACTTATTATATGCCAGATCTTGTACTAAGCACTTTATATGTGTCATTTTTTAATCCTCACAGCAACTCAATCAGTTAAGTATCATCATATGCCCCATTCAATAGAAAGAGGAACCAAGGCATGAATGGTTGTATAACTCTCTCACATTCCCTGATCATAAACCCAGAACCTAGATTCAAACATAGCCAGATTCAAACATAGGTAGTCTGGCTTCAGAGCCCATATCCTAACCTCTACACACTCTTGTCTCAGGAGGCTGACCACCCACCTCCTCCCTGGAAGATTCCTGGGGGAATTGATCCAGGCCGAAATAAACCCATGTTCTGGTTTCTTGGAAGAAAATCCGTTGAGGGGAACCGCATGTTCTAAAAGTACTTGCAAGGGGTACATATGGTATACAGGACTGGCTAACAATGGTGTCCATATTTGGGGCAGGCCAAAATGAGATTTATTTATTTATTATTTATTTATTTATTTTTGAGACAGAGTCTCGTTCTGTCGCCCAGGCTGGAGTGCAGTGGCACGATCTCGGCTCACTGCAACCTCCGCCTCCCGGGTTCAAGCAATTATCCTGCCTCAGCCTCCTGAGTAGCTGGGATTACAGGCGCCCAGCTAATTTTTGTATTTTTAGTAGAGACGGGGTTTCACCATGTTGGTGAGGCTGGTCCCGAACCCCTGACCTCGTGATCCACCCACCTCGGCTCCCCAAAGTGTTGGGATTACAGGCGTGAGCCACCGCGACCGGCCACCAAAATGAGATTTAAAATAAGCATTCAGCTTTCTCTTTGGCATAATGGGATCTGGAGTCGTCTCTCTAGCTGTTCATAAAAAGTTGGTGACTGCCTTCCAGAACTCTGGGGGCCTAAAAAACAATTCATAAGTAGCTTCTTCTCCATGCTGCTGGAGTAGAGGCGGAGGAGAAACTATGTTTTGTCATTACTCATGGAAATGGAGCACTTTGAACTGAATATAAACATTTAAGAAAAAAATGATTTCCCAGCGTAAACCACCAAAGTTTAGAGTGATCCCGAGGATAGAAGAGCTTCAAAGGGAGGCAGCCTCAGAGAAAACTTTAAATTTTATTTATTTATTTATGTATTTATTTATTTATTTTTGAGATGGAGTTTTGCTCTTGCTGCCCTGGCTGGAGTGCAGTGGCATGATCTCCAGCTCACTGCAACCTCTGTCTCCAGGGTTCAAGGGATTCTCATGCCTCAGCCTCCCAGGTCGCTGGGATTACAGGCATGTGCCACCACACCCGGCTAATTTTTGTTTTTTAGTAGAGACGGGGTTTCACCATGTCAGCCAGGCTGGTGTCAAACTCCTGACCTCAGGCGATCCACCCACCTCAGCCTCCCAAAGTGCTAGGATTACAGGCATGAGCCACTATGCCCAGCTAGAAGTTTTACTTATTTGTACCATTTCTCTATGATATATTTGTAGAGATACTGTATTAGTCCATTCTCATGCTGCTAATAAAGACATACCCAAGACTGGGTAATGAATAAAGAAAAAAAAGTTTAATGGACTCACAGTTCCATGTGGCTGGGAAGGCCTCAAAATCATGGCAGAAGGCAAAGGAGCAGCAAAGTCACATCTTACATGGTGGCAGGCAAGAGAGAGAGCATGTGCAGGGGAACTCCCCTTTATAAAACCATCAGATCTCATGAGACTTATTCACTGTCATGAGAACAGCGTGGGAAAGACCCACCCCCCATGATTCAATTACCTCCGACTGGGTCCCTCCCACAACACCAGAGAATTATGGGAGCTATAATTTGAGATTTGGGTGAGGACATAGCCAAACCATATCTGATATATTCTCTATAATCTGTGTGTGTGTGTGTGTGTGTGTGTGTGTGTGTGTGTGTACACAACTTTGAAAATATACAACTCAGGTAGTGAAAGTACCTGAAACACAATTTCTTGCTCTAGAAAAATATATGATCATTTAGGTTTTTCTTTCTGAAGCATCATAGAAATAGCAATGACACGCATCATCCTTAGGATGCCATGCTGAGGAATGTAGTCACTTCTAAATGGTAACTCCACTTTCACCTCCAAAAGAAGGTCAGGGGATTTGGGGGTCCTCATTAACAATACGGCTCATGTTAATTTTTTTCTTAGGGCCTTAATTAGACTTGCAGGTCTAGCTTCCCTTGGATTACAATTTTACATCGTCTAAGTAGTATAAGCTGCCTTTTCTCTTGAAGCAAGATCAACTGTAATAAAGCTTCTTGAAGTTTTAGAAATGATAGTATGTTGTGGATTTATAATGTTTTAGGCCTGAAGCCAATAATAACTAAGAATTGGAACACTTCCTAAGATCCATTTGACTTGATGGGATTTGGAACCTAAATATACAGAGTAGGAAGTTTCTAATTTGGAAGTTAAGCTGTTATGATGCTTAATTTTATGTTTCATCTTGGCTAGGCCATGTGGTGCTCAGATATTTGTTCAACATTATTCTGGAGGTGTCCTTGAGGGTATTTCTGTATGGACTAGTATTTGAATCAGTAGACCCAGGAAAGCAGATTGCCCTTCCCAGTGTGGGTGGACATCATCCTATCCATTGAGGCCTGAGTAAAACAAAACACTGAGTAAAGGAGATTTTGCACAGTCCTTCCCTGCTCCTGGAATCAGACTGGCACTTACACTATCAGCCCTCCTGCTTATCAAGCCTTCAGACTCAGACTGGAGCTATACCCTTGGGTTTTCTGGGTCTCCAGCTTGCAGTTAGCAGATCTTGGGACTTCTCAGCCTACATAAATGCGTGAGCCAATTCCTTAAAATCTCTCTCCTTTCTCTTTCTCTCCTTCCCTCCTGCCTTCCTTCCTTCCTTTTTCTTTCATCTTTCTCCTTCCTTCCTTTCATCCATTCATTTCCTATTGGTTCTGTATCTCTACAGAACCTAGACTAATATAGCTATTTATTTTTCATTAATTTAAATTATGAAATACTTTAAGCATACAAAAAAGAGACATCCTGAACCTGTGATGGGATGCACTGAGGGCACAGCATCGTTTCTGTGGTATTCTTGCCAACAATGTATAATCTCAATCATGAGAAAATATCTGACAAACTCCATTTGTGGGACATTTGACAGAGTTTCTGACAAGTTTCAGGTCAAGAAAGGCAAGGAAAGACTGAGGTGCTGTCACAGACTACAAGAGACTAAGGAGAAGGAACCACTAAATGGAATATGTGATTCTAGATAGGATTGTAGAATAAAAAAAGGACATTAGTGAAAAAACAGGAAATTCCAATACCATCTTTGTTTTAGTTAATCATGCTGTATCCAAGTTAATATCCTGGTGTGATCATTGTACTATGGCTGTGTAAGAGGTTAACGTTAGTGGTGTAAGCTGAGAGGTATATGCATACCCTGTACTATGTTTGCAACTTCTCTGTAAGTCTAAAATTAGGTCAAAATAAAGAGTTGAAAGAAGAGCTGGGCACGGTGGCTCATGCCTATAATCCTAGCATTTTGGGAGGTCGAGGCATGTGGATCACCTGAGGTCAGGAGTTTGAGACCAGCCTGGCCAACGGTGAAACACCATCTCTACTAAAATACAAGAAATTAGCCGGGTATGGTGGTACACGCCTGTAGTCCCAGCTACTTGGGAGGCTAAGGCAGGGGAATCACTTGAACCCGGGAGGCAGAAGTTGCAGTGAGCTGAGATCGGGCCACTGCACTCCAGCCTGGGCAACAAGAGCGAAACTCCGTCTCAAAAAAAAAAAAAAATAGTTAGAAGAATACATTAACATACAGAAAATGATATGACAAACGCCTGTGTACTTAAATCTCAGTTTGGTCAAGTCTTAGCATTTTGCCATATTTCATTGTATCTTTGAAAAAAAAAACATAGATAAAACTTAAGCCCCCTTTTATTTCTTTCCTGAACACCTTCTTTCCCTGCTTCCCTCCTGAGCATTATTCTGAATTTGATGTTAATCTCGTGCATGTTTAAATGCTCTTTTACATATTAGTATATCATTTTACCTTTGAGGACAAAAACTTATGGAAATTTGAATTAATACTTAGTATTACAGAGTAGTATATACTTAGTACTTAATACTACTGAACTGTACAGTTAAAAATGATTAAAATTGTATTCTTTTTCTTTTATTAAAGTTATTTTTAATTGACATGTTTGTTTATGGGGTACGATGTCATATTTGGATACATATATATTGTGGAATGGTCATAGCAAGCTAATTAGCATAGCCATTGCTTGAAATATTTATCATTTTTTTGTGGTGAGAACTTTTAAAATCATTTCTTTCAGCTATTTTTAAGTATACAGTACATTATTATTAACTGTCATCACCTTGCTATGCAGTAGAGCACCAGACTTATTCCTCTTGTCTAACTAAAACTTTGTACCTGTTGACAAACATCTTCCCTTTCCCTCTTTACTCCCCAAAATGGTAAATTTTATATGTATTTTACCAGTAAAAACAATTAAGGGGAAAAAAAGAACCAATGTAAATGGGCTTCAAGTGATGCTCCTCAGAAAGAAGGAAGTTGCCTTATTTCAACTGCTTTTTTTGCTTTATAAGAATTATTGTGACAAGGACTTCCTTCTTCCAAACCAAATTCTTAGCTGAAATATTTATAACGATTATTTTTAGGGGCGGGGAGAGGATGGGTATGATTTCCTATGCTCTGTTTGCATGTTCATTCCCAAACAGATACAACCTTATCAAGGCTCATGCACTTAATTAAAGTGGGGGGCAGGTGGTGAAAATAGAGTGTTTTGGTGTACACAAGGTTAAACTGCATCATACCGCTGCCAAAGGCTACACACTCTGCTTGATGCTTTCCCATGGTTGATAATTTAATTTTATGACAGTCTCTGAGTTATGTGTTTTCATTCTAATATTAAGTTGTGCAATTCAGAGGACCTAGATTCGCCTCCAGAGTCCAGGACTCCCTGCAGCCATGCTGCCTCTTTTGAGAACTGACCTCAGCTGAGTTGTTTATGCATCATGAGTTGACATAGTCCACAGTGCTAATAGAGGGGAACTACAGGTTCCCTCTCCCACAACTTTACCATCTAGCACGGCCATGAACACAACTTACAGACTGAATTCTGCCACACATATAAACATTTCATGGCCAGCAGGCACAAAAACATCACACAACCTTGTTCTGTAAGCTCCCAAACTGCTGTGCAACAGGATGGCCAGTAGCCACATGTGGCTACTAAAATTTAAATGGAATTAAACAAAAATTGATTCTTCAGTCACATTAGCCACATTTCAAGTGGTTAGTGACCACCTGAACTAGTGGCTACCTTATTAGTCAGGTGAACAAAATATTTATGTCATCTTAGAAAGTCCTGTTGGACAGAGCTGCTCTAGACAGTCCCTGTGCTCTGTCCTTTGGTTGGATCTGGAGAACATTGAGCAAAAAGTTTCATTAGAAGCAGATGGGACAATATTCTAGCGTCAGGATTGGGCTAACTTTCTTGACAGCATGAGGTGACTAAATTTCCTCCAAAGCATCTAGAAACAGGACTGAAGAGAGTCTTCAGCTGAGGACACCATTTCCCCCTCCCTACCCAGCTTTATTGAGGCATAATTGACAGATAAAAATTGTATATATTTAAGGTGTACAGTGTGATGATTTCATGTATGCATACATTGTGAAATGATTACCACAATCAAGTTTATTAACACATATTAACACATCTATCACCTCACTGTGTGTGTGTGTGAAATCTATATTGTAGCAGATTTCAAGTATATAAAAGAATATTAACTGTAGTCACCATGCTGTACATCAGATCCCCAGAACTTCAAGGTCTGAGGGCACCCTTTGAAAGACGTAGACAACTGAGCTAGATAGACTCTTATTTTCAGGTTATGCAAGAGTGGGGAAGTCTACAATACTTAGAGCCCATTATGAACACTGAAAAATCATTTGCAGCATTCATTATTCTAAGTAACAACCCTCTGGTATTCATCAGAGATAAACATGGTTGACTTGGTTTTCTGTTTACATGAGCTTTTGATTAGTCATTCAAATGCTAACTACCCCAGGGTATAGGTTAAAAATAATTACTACCCTTGTATCACAAAAATACCCATGTTGTAATGTTTTGAAAAATTGCAGACAATATGACTGCCTGTGTATAGATAGCCTCATTTAGTTTTTGCAACAACCCTTTCCAGTAGAAATTGCAGGTATTAATCTCATTTTTGTCTCTATTGAATTCTCCAATATGCTGTGGCCAGGCTATTGCATGATGGAACCAGTTGCTAAAGAAATTCAAATTGTTCGTATAGCTGCCAAACATACAGCCTTTCTTATTGTATTTTATAATGTCAAGGCTCCTACATACTTTGGGCCAAGCCTGATGGTGCTTCATGCAACACCAAATACAGGCAACCTACAGTCCTCTCCTCGCTCTCTGTTGGAATATTTTCTGTATTTTTCAAATCGTTATTAATTCAGCAACTGTGTGCATACCAGTTGAGTGCCTATCAGGTTCCAGGTGCTGCATCCTGCCACTTCTAGCTGCAGCAGGTTCATTTTTAACCTGGCTTTGCTGCATCTATAAAATAGAGATGATAATGTTGTCTTTGCAGAGTTTTTGAAATGATTATATATGTGGGATGTTCTGTAAATGGTTTATTTTTATTGCATAATTGAGGAGACAAACTCCTTCCTCTCACTTTCCTTGGCAATACCCTTCTGGGAAAAATGTTTGTATTTTATTCTAAAATGTCAGACATAGACTACTTTCCAACCCTGATTCCATATCAAAATCATGTGTGCACACAATAATTATACTTGGATTTATGTGATTATCTGACTATCTCCCCCACTGGATTGGAGCCTCCACCAGGGCAAGGTGGATCGAATTCATTCTAGGAAGTGTCAGCATCTGCCAACATGGTGCCTGACCAACAAACCCCTCCTGGATTCTGGCCATCATGGTTAGGGAACCACCAGAGTTAGCATCCTTTCGCAATGTTTCAATTGCATGAGAGCCACACTGGAGACCATTTCTAGTGCATCTCTAGTTGGGGTGGAAATGCCCAGAAGGGATCCTTTTGGGCTAAGCAGAGGTTTGGTGAAATGAGTGTCATCTAATCTGGATGTTCAGAGCCAACAGTTGTTCTTCTTTTGGCACCATTCTAAATTGGGTAGACAACCCCCTTGGTGGGAAGAATTTTGCACAAAATATGTTTGTGGGGAAGGAGGAGAGACATAGACTCCCTGGGTACTGTTACTTACATCAGAGGAAACAAGAAAGTACAGATCAAAGAGCAGAGTTGGCATTTTACTACTTATCCTTAAAGGACTAGAAGTCAAGTGATCAAAATGTGAAGACCTTTGTTCTAGTTCTCTAGGGGACTATAAAGAAAAGTGGGGATGGGGTGGAAGTAAGAGGTGGAAATGCTCAAGGTTGATTCTCTAAGTGGAACCCCAAGGGTTCAGAGGCAGACTGACTGGCGTCCAGCTCCAGACTAACCCAGTTGGAGAAAATGGAGATAGGAGGTAGCCTACAGTGTTTTTATTATATTATGGAAAATCAGAAAGATGATATATAGTATCTGAGTGAGTGAAGAATGAATGTAAATAGCAGTAAATGTGAATGCCTGTTATAATTAATAATTAACTTTAATTTAATTAGAGAATTGAGGATGAGCAGAACCGCAACAGGTGAGCCTGGATTGCAGGGTGGGGTGAGATGAGGGTTGGATGTCTCTTGGCATCTCTTTGGCTATTCTCATCAGTCATCACAGAGTTCCCATTAGTAGACCTGCCTGTGGGCCAAAACCTCCTGCCTGTAAATGATTTTGCTGATTTAGTGCTTTATATTTCTGTCCATCCTATTCTTAGCATAAATAAAGCTTTCTCTGCACTTCCCTGAAGCTAAATAAAATTAAGCTATGGGAGGCTCCCTGCCTCTCGCATGGATCTCCCAGAGCATCTGTGAATAGACGCTGTTGTGTGTGCACACAATGGTCTCCATTCAATTAGGAACCACTTGTGTACATCTCCTCTAGGAAGAGAGCTCTTTACCTATATTAGTCTGTTTTCACACTGCTGATAAAGACACACCCGAGACTGGGAAATTTACAAAAGGAATAGGCTTAATGGGACTTAACAGTTCCATGTGGCTGGGGAGGCCTCACAATCTTGACAGAAGGCAAGGAGGAACAAGTCACATCTTACATGGATGGCGGGAAGCAAAGAGAGAGCTTGTGCAGGGAAACTCCCATTTTTAAAACCATCAGATCTCATGAGACCCATTCACTATCACAAGAACAGCATGGGAAAGACCCCCTCCATGATTCAGTCATCTCCCACCAGGTCCCTCCCACAACACATGGGAATTGTGGGAGCTACAAGATGAGATTTGGGTGGGGACACAGAGTCAAACCATATGATTACCCAGAAAGCATTTATGGTGGCCTACCAGCTTGGGAAGTGGTTAACGAAAATGACATTGGTTAATGAAAACTATAGTCAAGGCTTTGAAAAATCTTGTAATGTGAAAACAACTTTAAAAAATTATAAAAACAATACAGTATGGGAAAATTAGAAGCTATAAGACAAAAGGGGGCAATATTTTTTAAAACCTACCAAGAGCAAAACTTTAGAGGTAGAAATTAGATCAGTGGTTGCCAGGAGCCCCTGGGGGTAGGGAAATGGTATAGGCTGCAGAAGGGTAAGGGGAGCACTGTGAGGGACAGAAATAATCCACATCAGCACTGTCCAATAAAAATGTAATTTGAGCCACAAGTGGGAACCATTAACTTTTATTTTTCTATAGGTAAATTTTTAAAAAGAAAGAGACATAGGAATAGGTAAAATTAATTTTTTGATGTTTTATTTAACTTAATATATAAAATATAATTTCACTCTAAAATAAATATAAAATTATTACATATTTTTGCACTTTACACTTATGACACATTTGATTTTGTGCTGGCCACATTTCAAGGAGCCGTGTGTGGCAGGTCTGTGGGCCACACAATTCAACGCAGTTTTGGTGGTGGTTTCATGGCTGTATACATTTGTCAAAGCCTATCAACTATATGTCTTAAAGAGTGACTTTTATTGTGTATACAGTATATCAATTTTTAAAAAATTCCTGATAGCCATTATGAGCCAATGTATGTTCCATCCTTATATTAAAATTATTGTCTTGAAATGAATGTCAGAAATGCAATTTGATAATTCCATTGTCAAATTCCAAAATAAAGTTAAGATCGTACATTAGAATCACCTAAGGCTAGTAATTTTCATAGACTTCATGGGGGTGTGGGTGTATGTGTGTTTCCATTACACAGCTTAGTTTAGAAAGGTCTAGTGAAAATTTAATTAGACATTGCAATTTAATAAGAAAGGATTAATAATTAATTAATAAGAAAAGGATTTGCATATGTTTGGCAAGATAAAGATGAACCCAAATTGCTTTGACAAAGACAGTGCTATTTTAAGAAAGCTTGTCATTTTCTCTTTTGTTTTATGGCTACTTCTCTTGCAGCAG
Source organism: Homo sapiens (assembly GCF_000001405.40). Classification (NCBI taxonomy): domain Eukaryota; kingdom Metazoa; phylum Chordata; class Mammalia; order Primates; family Hominidae; genus Homo; species Homo sapiens. The sequence continues at coordinate 27,606,222 of NC_000012.12, forward strand.
TATTAAAAATCACTGTCTCTTGACTTCCTTCTGTTTCTATTGTATAATGTGTTTTGCAGTAACTGTTTTGACAGTGGATCTGTCTGCAGGCATTTTTGGGGTATGGGGGAGGATGAGTTCTCATGTACCCACTTGGTAAGAGAAGGTTGTCGGGGAGTAAGTTTAACTTTCATCACTAAAGCTAGGAAATTTTTTTAGCTCTACGACTGTGTGTTAGTAGTTACAAATAATATTGTTTGCCATTTGATAGCTATTTTGATGTTTTCTTTTTTTCCACCAGAAAGTCCATGTTTAAGTTTTGCTGATGCTTACATAAACTTTAACAACTTACAAATGAATACATCCAGGAGAAATAGGCCAAAGGATATCTTCGAAATGGTTTTGAAGCCCAGATGTCTGGGCCGAAAATAAACAGATAAAATTTGTTAGGGTTGAAAAATCAATTCCGTAAGTTTGGGCTGGGGAAGACCCAACTGGTAAGAAAATTATCCCACAATATTCATAGACTGAATCTTAGAGTACAAAATGTGATATAGTTGTTTGAGAACTTCATAACCCGCAGCATACATTTAACAAGTGGGCCACAGATTAGGCACAAGGTAAACCCTTATCAGGTTATTTCACCTTAGCTTAGAGTTTAGTTCGGTGCTCTGTTAGTTCAAGAAGCAGTTACTCCATCCGTACTTGCTATCAAGATGAATTTTATATATAGCAATGAAAATCAGATTTCAATGTGCATTGAAAATGCAAATCCCTGTGCCCCATTTGTAGGAATTTCTGGTTTATTAAGCAAAGAATGGGGCCTAGAATCTGCACTCTCAGCATGCATTCCATGTGATTCTTATGCCAGCAGACTCCACCCTGAAAAACTCTAATCTTCAACAACCTGTTAAACTTTTACTAGGTTTTCTGTACAGATTAGGCACTGTGATAAATTCAAACAAAAGGCAATTTCTTTGTCATGAACATGCTAACGTAACTTACAAGGTGGTATGCTGGGAGTGGTACAGCCAGTGCAAATGGGAAGGAGCTCAGAGCCAGGGGCCAATGCCACCAACAATTGATTCAGGTGTACAAAAGTGCATGTCCACCTCGTGGGAAATAGCATGAGCTCCAAAAGGGAGAATGGCATTACTAGGGGAAGCAGCTGCACTTAGATATGGACTGCAATGTTGTTGAAGCACTTAGGAAATTTTAACAAGAAAATTGACTATGACAATTAAGAAGCAGATGTGAAAGAAATGCATTTGATCATTGTCAGAGGGTCTTAAACTTGAGTGCACATTAGAATCACCTGGAGGACTTGTTAAAATACAGATTTCTGGGTCCCATACTCAAAGTTCCTGATTCAGTAGGTGTGGGGTGGAGCCTGAGAATTTGCATTTTTCTGACAAGTTCTCAAGTTATGCTGGTCTGGGGGCCACACTTTGAGACCCACTGCTCTTAATGAATTTGGTGTCTTGATTTACCAAAAATCCATAGATGATGATGACGGGTGCAAATTGTTGCGGCAAGAATGGGGAAGCGATGATTATCAGGGTGTGACCTTGAACTCCCACTCATAGGCTATGTTCCTCCCCGCTTTTTTTTCCTTCTATGACTTTTTTACTCTCAGAGCAACTGGTCTAACCAAAAATACTCTGGGGGTGGGGACAGGAATGTGGCTATGGAGAATAATTTGAGAACTATAAATCAGTTTTTTTCTTTCCTAATTGAGGTTTTTATTGGTTGTGTTGAGGATCAGTACACAGACATTCCAATTTGTACAAAATTATGTACTGAAACTCTAAAAAGCTATTTTCATTCTTTTTAAATTCATTGCAGTTCTTTTTAAAAGTTATTCCAATGACTCTCCAGCTTAACATTTGGAAGCAAATTTTCCTTAAGAGGATATCAAGTACTAGTATCTTCAAATGTTGATAAGCTGTTACATATGTCATACCAATTCACAATTTAATAACATATACACTCAAATTTCAGTCTTTCACAGCATAATGCATTTAGGAAAACAGGACTACCACAAACAAAGATGCTACAGACAGCACACTGTTCTGACAGGGGGAGCCATGACCAAAGAGTAGTATTTTTTAGGAAACAATTCTACTAAAAGCCAACATGAAAATAGAAATAATCACAAATATTCGAGACATTAAATGCAGGACTGTGACTCCATATTGCCATTTACTGTGCTTTCTGTTATAGGATATGGAAACTAATCCCCCATCTTTAGAATGTTAAGCGGACTCCCAAGACAGTCAAAACCTGCCATAATTCAATATCCCACACTATTTTCTGATTGTACCAGAAAATAAAATAAACAACCAGCGAATGATTTCACCTCTTAAGTAAAAGCATTTACCCTTAAAAAATGGGTGAGTTAGGATTCCCTCCTTCTTAAAAATATTTCTAGAACTACTAAAAAACTTGCATTTACAAAATAGTAGATAAAAATATTCCTCTGGATTGTACAAGAAGGGAGACAGGGACACCGATAAAACATAGTGTATGATATCAGTCAGACTTAGTGTCTTTCTCTGTGGCTTCATCCGAGGCTGGACTCTCCTTGTTTTCAGTGTCTCCATTTTCTGCAGATAAATCTTTAGTTTCTTGATCAGCCACTTCAGCCTGTTTTTCTTTTCCTCCTTTTTCTGCTTTCATTTGTTTTTTTGTTTTGTTTTGTTTTGTCTGAAGATTTATCCTTTCCTGCTGCCTTTTTGGGCTTTGTTTCGCTTTGAAGGAGCAGGTTTAGCTGACCACCTTGCAGATCTCTTCTTCGGGGTCTCCCTTCACCGACACTTAGCTGAGCTGACCTTCCTCCTGGACATCTTGGCGGCATGGAGGGTGTGGGCTGGGTGTCTGCAGGCTGTGGTGCACCGAGAGCCTTCCCGAAACTGGGCTGCCTGGCCACAGCTGCTGCATCCGAGAACTACAAATCTTATATTCAGCATGTAGCCAAGTACTTCTAAAACTCTGATCAGAACTGCATGTCTCAGATTTTATTTTAGAAAACCATAGGTATCCACTACTTTATAGAAGTCTCAAATCTAAAACTGTACTCATGACGTAAATCCCCAAACTTGCTCCTCCTCCAGTGTTCTTTAGAAATGGCATCCTCATCTGCTCATCTTTTCAGTACCACAGGCTGGCCTCATCCTGGACGTCATTCCTTCTCTCACACACTTTCATTCCTGCATACAGTCACTCAGAAAGTCCCATCAGTCCCATCTCCTAACATATGTTACATCTGTCTACTTCTGTTGCCTTCACTACCTCCACCTTGTCCAGTCTACCAACTCCCAACTGGCTCTTCCCACATCTTCTCGGGATCCCTTCTGGTTATTATTGTATAAGACGCAGGGAGATTTTTTTTAGAAACACAGATCACATCAAGTCAACCCTGTACTTAAGACCCTTCAATGGCATCCCACTGTTTTTAGGATAATCCTTCAGTTCTCAAAATGGTCCCATGGGCCCTGCATGACATGGCCTCACCCACATTTTCAGCCTCATTTGCAGCCATTTTCCCTTTTGTTCTCTACACTCCAGTCCCACTGACTGTTTCACTTCCTGAACTAAAGGTGTTTAAACCCACTGCTCTTCACTGAGATAATCCTAGATGAATATCCCAGGGGTATCCATGGAGAAGAGGGTGAATGTGACACTTGCAGATGACATTCTTATTGAGATTAAAACTGACAAATGGCCCCAGTCTATTGCTTTTTGAAAACAAGGTCTTGGGGGAAAGAACCACTACTTGTCCTTAGCGAGCCTGTGCAATTTAGAAAATGGTGCCCCTCCAGGTGAATGCAGCCCCCGAGCTGTGTGGATTGGATTTTGGTGTCTGTGCACCCAGGGTGAGGTACTCTGTGAAGGACATGACCTGCACAGCCAGAATGGTGACTTTCTCTGGAGATGTCAGTTGGTTTGCTTCCAAATTAAAACAGGTCTAAATAGGTTTGTCTTATTTAGAAGCTGAACGATTATGGACAACTTCTGGAACTCCCTTGTAGCCCAGTAGTGATTTTATAATAATAATTAATATGAAAAGCTTTTACCATGAGGCTGTAAAAGTTGTTCTTTGCATGACTAGGATGACATTGTATGTTTGCCTTTCCAAGCCAGCATGGTTGTGTCTACACTGCTAGCTCTGTAGCTGTTTTTCAGAGTTGAAGACCAAGTGTGATTTACAACCCAGAATGTCTCTAGCTGCTGGCATCTAAGTTTGGCACTGAGCACTTAAAGCGCCCAGACTATGGTGTTTTACTGTGTGGAGGAAGGCCTCATTGGAGAGGCACAACATTTTTTCATCTGACATGTTTGCTCTTGTGGAAATGGCTTGAATTATTTGAGTCCTGGCAGCAGAAAACATGGGAGGAGACTTAAGTCTTGCTGAGCATGAATCATCCTATACAAATTAAAACTGATCACTTTTAAAAGCAGTTTCATTGCTAGTATAAAACTATCCATCAATCATTAGATTGCTTTGATGTGTATATCATATATCTGTGTGTCGCTGCCAGGATCCTAGCATGAACCTCTCCCTGAACAAACACTGAATAAATATTGCTATGATTTTGCTTATTACTTATACTTTTGTCTTTGACTTAGACACAGTTTAGTTTCTCGTTTTTAACTCCATGTTGAATATGAGTTCAGTTATTTTTCTTTTTTTTTTTGTATCTATGGAAGTGCCTAAATTTTACTAGGGGTGAGGTGGGGAAAATAGGAAAAGTATGAAAAACAACCACACGTGCACAATTCCTTTGTAATTTCAAACTTTAATGGACACTCTCTGGAGGTCATTGCCAGATCTCTCAGCAGGAACAGAATTTGAATCTGGGAGCAAGTAATCACTCTGTAAATGTTTGTTATGATACTGGAATTGCCAAATATGCTATATCTAATTGAATTTCATTACTGGGGCATGAAAGACAGTTGGTTGAATGTTGTCACTGAAAAGAATATATTGTGGCCAGCAGATTGTTGCCTATATAGCGCTGTAGCTGGGTTTTTCAGGCCAGCTGCACTTTGAAAAGTTCTGGATGCTGAAAGTATTGGAAAGGTTGGGTCCTTCTGAGGGCCAGGAGGGAAGGATCTGTTCCAGGCTTCTCCCCTTGGCTTGTACATGGCTGTCTTCTTTTGCATTCACATCATCTTGAATTTTGGGCACATATTTCTGTGTCCAAATTTCCCCTTTTTATAAGGATTCCAGTCATACTGGAATTAGGGCCCATCCGAATAATCTTGTTTAAATTGATTATAAAGACCCTATATCCAAATAAGGTCACATGCTGAGGTCCTGGGGCTTAGGATTTCAACATATAAATTTTGAAAGGACATAATTAAACACATCACATCATCCGTAGTTGAACCGCAACACAAATTAGCCTCAGAAATCAAGCTGTATTTATTTTGTGTTTTGTTTTTATTTGCTTTTTAGCTATACTTATTTTGTAATTGTCTATAAACTGAACCAGTTTCCATAAAGTAGTTGAATTTTATTTCTTTTTCCCAGATCCGACCCACCAGAGGGCCATGGTATTGGTTCTGCAGTCAACACTGTGCTCTCTCTCTCTCTCTCTCTCTCTCTCTCTCTCATTTGTTTCATGAGTCATTAGGCCAAAAAATGTTAGGTAAATGAAAGCAAATATGACAGCAGTACCTTGAACAAGGGGACCACGTCTTTCCCCCTCAAGTCCATGACGTGTAACATGTCTAATATTCTAGTTCTGAGGATTTTAAATGTAATTCGTTGATCTGTAGTGTGCTTTCACTGGACACCTTGCTTTAGTTAAACCATTCTTGCATATCCTTCATTTTCCACATTAGCCTTGTTTAGTTGTGCAGTTTTGACATTCATAGCTCTCCAGTGCTTTGGACTGAATGTTTATTGCAAGAACTTGCAGCTGACTTTCTATCAGGTCATTCTGATGTTGTCCAGGGATGCCGTCAGAGGTACAGGTTCTTGAAGCACCTTTTATGCTATCTTCCTTTTCTACTCTGGGCCTTTCCCAGTTTCTGGGAGGTCAAGGTATCTGCCAAGCCTCTCTCTCTGCAGCACACTGGCATCAGTCATACTTGTATGCTCCATCTGTACTTTATTGGTGTTTTTTTTTTTTTTTTTTTTTTTGAGACAGGGTCTCACTCTGTCACCCAGGCTGAAGTGCAATGGTGCAATCACAGCTCACTGCAGCCTCAACCTCCCAGACTCAAGTGATCCTCCAAGTAGCTGGGATCACTTGATCCTCCTGAATAGCTGGGACTACAGATGTGTGCCACCACACCCAGCTAACTGTTTGTTTGTTTTAATAGAGACAAGGTCTCACTATGTTGCCTGGCTGGTCTTGAAACTCCTGGGCTTAAGCGAGCCTCCCGTCTCAGCCTCCGAAAGTGCTGGAATTACAGGTGTGAGCCACAGCGCCCGGCTCCACCTGTACTTCAAAACTCACCCCACTCCCTGTTCCCGCAGCACGTCATGTGCTAATGTGACTGCTATGTACCCTCTTAGGCTTCTGGGCCCTGAAATACAATCCTATTTTGTTCCCCCTATCCTAAGAGATCAGGTGGAATGGAAGATTTTCTCCCTTTTGTATTAAATGGGTCAAATTTTGTCTCTCCTCAAGTATATTCCAAAATATAAGTAATCTGTTAATAAAACGTCTTATCCCTTCAGAAAACAGAATTTAGGGTGGGTTAGATAATACACATCATCATCATCATCATCATCATCATCATCATCATCATCATCATCATCATCCATACCTCTCTAAGCCTGTAGCAGGGTGGAATAGCATGAGCTATTGATTGTATCTGAGCAGAGGAATGCCTGGTACCCCATCTCTCCAGAAGAAATTAGGTGGTTTGAGAGCATCTCTTAGATCTGAATAATTTCAGTGCCAAAGACCAAAACCCCTTCATAAGCTGCTATTAGACTCTCCCTGATTGCCATGCCTGGCTTCTGTTGGAGACAATCCTAGAGGAAAACAGAAACTCCCAAGGAGCTGGGTAGCCAAGAGAGGAGCCCAGACCTTCCATCTTCCATCTGGTGACCTGATGGTTCTGGCATTTGACCTCTCTGAAGGTAAGAAACCTTGGATATTACACATAAATTCCAATATCTGAATTGACAGAAGTACTCTCTCCAGGGTAGATATGCTATCAGAGCTTAGATGTAAGGATGTTTTAAAAATTTCATTCAGAGATCAGGCACAGTGGCTCATGCCTATAATCCCAGCACTTTGGGAGACCAAGGCAGTGGATCACCTGAGGTCAGGAATTCGAGACCAGCCTGGCCAACATGGCAAAACCCCATCTCTACTAAAAATACAAAAATTAGCAGGGCATGGTGGCATGCACCTGTAATCCCAGCTGCTTGGGAGGCTGAGGCAGGAGAATCGCTCGAACCTGGGAGGCAGAGGTTGCCATGAGCCCAGATCTCGCCACTGCACTCCAGCCTGGGCAACAGAGCAAGACTCCATCTCAAAAAAAAAAAAAAAGAAAAAAAAATTCACTCAGAGACCTGAAGTGTCAGGCCCAGCAATAGTTCAGTAGTTCTTTGGCCCTTGATGTCAGTCCTGTGAGCTAGCTCTCCAGCACGAGGGACTTTCTTGTGTTTAGTTTCACCTCCTCTCTTCTTGGGGTAGATCACAATCAAATAGCTCCCATTTCCATCGTTTGGGAAGACAATGACCTTGCCTTCCCCACACACGTCCATACAGCACTGCTCCTCGGACTCCACACCCCAGGTCCAGAATAGTCAGGGTGGCTACTCTAGGACTAATCTCTCTTCCTATCTCCTGGTAAAATGGTTTTAGCAGACATTTGTCCCTGGCAGCTGTTAGTTTCCCCTCTCATCACTATATTAAGACATCCTTGGCCAAGCATGGTGGCTCATGCCTGTAATCCCAGCACTTTTGGAGGCTGAGACGGGAGAATCACTGGAGCCCACAAGTTCAAGACCAGCCTGGGCAACACAGGGAGACCTTGTCTCTACCAAAAATAAAATAAATTAGCCAAGTGTAGTGGTACATACCTGTGATTCCAGCTACTTGGGAAGCTGAGGCAGGAAGATCACTTAAGCCCAGGAGGTTGAGGCTGCAGTGAGCCGTGCGTGATTGGGCCACCGCACTCCAGCCTGAGTGACAGAGCAAGACTCTGTATTTAAAAAAAAGAGAATAAAAGACCTCCCAGCCCACGACTTCTTTAACTTTTTGCTTACACATTGAGGCCTTCAGCAAATTAAGAAAAACTTGGTGAGCTCCTGAATAGTGATGCTAGCCTCAGCATGTACAAAGGAGTCCTGGAGTATGTTCATGGTTCTGCTTAGCTTTTAGAACAGACCTCCTTTTACTGCCAGACTCCTAAGCTACTAATGGGCCAGTTGTCAGGGATGGGTATAGGCAGAGAGAGCCGGTCTGCAGATTTTTCTACTCATTCTCTGTCAGGTGCTATTTTCAAACAGGCAGAAAAAGAAAGGACAGCCTGCAATGCAATAGAGCTTTCCTTTGGGAGGAATTTTTTCAATAAAAAAAATAAGCTATGACAGGTTTTACGTCAACAAAGAATTGTTATATAACCGGAATCAAAGATTCTTGCATTTATATTGAAATAAATGTTAGGGTGATTTATTTTCCACAACTTCAAAATGACAATTGCTATTAATTAATTAATGAAACAGAAAAATTCCATGCTAACTAAAAGAAGCAACTGGTGGTATTTGCTGGTATTAATGCCTTCTAGTTGTAAGTTGGCTATCTGAGAAACACTTCTTGATTTGGTTCATTAACCCAATGAATGAATCATGAATAGGAGATCCAGCCACAGAAAACTATAGTTCCTGCAGGCAGATCCTAGGAAGGTTTGACACCATGGGGGTTCTGAGCTTGGGCTGCTCACCATATTTATTGCCACTCTTTAGACCCCGAAAGCCTCAGCAGAGTGTATATCTCTTAAGATCCTATTATCCAGCTTTAACTCCCTTTACAAAATCCAGGAAATTATACAAGTTATTTGGAAAATTCCCGTGTCGCATGTTTTCAGTAGGATGTTAAGACGTTAAAAAATGGCACTCCAACTTTGTGTTTTGTTGTATAATAGTAGAAGAGAACAAACAAAGGGTAACATCAAAAAGACCATAATCATGCATGCAAAATGCATGTCCACACCCAACAGAGGGGTGGGTGGAATTCAAGACCAATTTGTGTTGGATTCCAAGATAAAAAGGGACTAAGTGGATGTGCCTGTGTTTCCTCAAGGAGGAATTTATGGTATTTACTAGCACAAAGCAATCACTTAAAAGTTGAGTCAAATATTCCTGTACTTGCTTATAGGCATAGTCTATAATAAGGTAATGATTCATCTAGTTCCAACTTCACAGTAATAATCTTGGGTTATAGATGTGGAAAAAGGATTACATTTATCTGGTTTAATCTCATTTTACAAACAAGGAAAATGAAGCCTGGAAAATTTGTTTGAGCAATATGCTCTGTAACATCTCATAACTCCCAGTGGTATCATTTTCCACAAAAGAGGCAGAGTAGAGGGAAGAAAATGGTGTCCACAGGGCAGGGTCAGGGACCAGCCACACTCCAATCCCTGCTGGTGACTGCCCTCAGCCATCCTGGTGGCCTCAGCTGAGACCCAAGCCCTCCCCCAAAAGAATTGTCCCAGGATAACTCAGATATCACTAGTCATCTGGCGGATAAAGGCAAAGTTTGCATGAAAGTGGCAATTTGGGGGAGACATTTAAATGTTTCCATGCCTCATTTTCCTCTTCTATAAAAAGGGAATAATAGTATGTTTGTTCTAAATCGCTTGGGTACTTACTAAGCACTTAATAAATATTAGTTGTTATTGTTTTCTTTTTTCCGTTCTCAATTCTTTTCCCTCTCTGCCTTCCTCCCTCCTCTTTTCCCTCCTTTCCTTTTTATACCCCATCTGCATTGTTTTCAAGCATAATACATAGGGCATGAGAGATATTTTTCTTTAAAAATCTGGCTGTTTTTGTGCTTTCTTCCCAAAATTTCCAGAACTCAGTTTTATCAGTATATTTTGAGAACCCCACTGGTGGACATTTAGGTTGTTTGCAGATTTTTTTTTTTTTTTGGTTCTGTTTGAATCCCTCCTCTTCTACTTTGTAGCCCTGTAATCTCTTCAAGAGATGATGATCTTTGATGGCATTTTGGGGGTGATGTTCAGGTGGCAGCCAGATTGGAGGGGACCGTGGAGCAGACTGTGTGACTACTCATTCCAAGGGCATCATTGTGGAGAGTAAGCACTGGATCGTAACACAGGAAGGGTGAGGGAAGTGTCTGGGAGTGTTTTTTGTTTGTTTGGGGCTGGGATTTTTAGATCCAGAAGGTTTTCAACATATTTCTTAGTTTAGCAGAACGAAACAGAGGAATGGAAGAGATTGAAGATGTAAAAGAGTGAAGGAATAATTGTCTGAAAGCTTGGCATGAGATCAAGAATAAAAGGGCGGAGACTCTTCCTGTGATGGAAGGCCAGGGGCCAAGAACAGACAAGCAAGTCTACAAAGGAGCTTTAGATAGAGGGTTCCCCAGGATTGGCTTTGAGATTCTCAGTGTGGGGGGATCTGGAGTAATCTGCTGAGATTAAGTGTTGGAGGAATAGGAACAGGTTAGGGGAGAGTTTTATAGGAATTTTTAGAGACAGCCATTATGAGAAATGTGACAGGGAGGGAACTAATGATGGATAAAAGGATTCTTGAGTAACATTAAGTGCCCAGTCAAGATTAGACAGCAGGCATTTGAAGTGGAGCCAACTCAACTTCCTCTGGCTGTGCTTGGTACAGCTAAATCAAGAGGCAGCAAGATGTTTCATGTGGAAAAATAAATTTTTAACACTCTATTATTCTTTAACGGAGGGCAGGAATTGAAGCATCCTTATATGAAGATAATTCAAAGACATCCAATAGAGGTGGCATAAATACCAAAAATTTGAAAAGTATGTTGTTCCGCAGCCTTGTTTTTAGGCTCAAATAAACACCCCATTAAGTAGAATGTATACCCCGATCACTTAGAATACTCAAGTTTCGAGGTGCCACTTAAAAATAAGGCAGATGCTGTACTTAGCTAGGGAAAAGGTATGTCTCTTGGCAGGTGGGATCCCTTCACCTGGTCCACAAGATGGACTTAATTGGAAGCAAATACAGAATTGGAGACGGTCAATCAAATGGAAGCTCCTCAGTTCCTAGATCAGTTTCTGGTACATGGTAGGTAAATGAGAAATACTTTGTGAATAAAGTACAATTGTCCCTTGGTATCCATGGAGGATTGGTTCTAGGATCTCCTGAGGATCCCAAAAATCCATAGCGGCTCAAGTTCCTTATATGAAATGATGTAGTATTTGCCTATAACCTTCACACATCCTCCCGTATATGTTAAATCATCTCTATATTACTTAGAATACCTACTACAATGCAAATGCTATATAAATAGTTGCTCTACTGTATTTTTAAATTTCTTTTTTTATTTGAATATTTTAAATCTGTGGTTGGTTAAATTCATAGATATGAAATTCATGGATACAGAGGGCTGACTATATATATGTATGTATATGAGTAAATGTATAAATTTATTCATGTCACTTTGGAGCACTAGTCCTATGAGACATAGTAAAATATGGAAAATCCTGACTATATTGATCATTTAGTAGTCCTGCCCACGTCATTCAACATGTAGCTGTGGTAAAAGCAAGTTTTCAAGTTCCTGTCAAGACAACTCAACACATTTACTCTCTTCTGCTTCTCTGCCTCCCTCATTCCCTCTCTCCTGAAAGTTACGGGTTGTCAGAACTTTTATTGAAATGAAAACAAAATCTAAGTTGATTCTCTAAGACATGAAAGAGTCAGAGTCTAACAAGTCCATTAATATTCTATTCTTTCCTATGCAGTACTGCAAAGCATGTTTGGTGATGATAAAGGAATAGTTTTGTTTTGATGGATACAAATAGTTGTTATTTATTTCATGATCACCATGGTAAGTGTAAACCAAAAATAAAATTCCAACCACCTGAATGGACCCCTCCTCTCGGCCAAGGGCATTCCAAAGTTAACCCGAAAAACTAGTTTAGGCCGTGATGGGAAGGGGGAGCCCAACATGACTCATTATTCCCTCTTCCTTTTTGGAATTACTGATAGAATAATCTTTTAAAGTCTGATAAGAAACATTGACAATCTATTCTCTGAAGCTTCCTACCTGGAGGCTTTATCTGCATGATAAAACCTTGGTCTCCACAACCCCTCATCTTAACCCAGACATCCCTTTCTATTGATAGTAAGTCTTTAGATAATAACAACTTTTTCAACCAATTGCCAATCAGAAATTCATTGAATCTACCTATAATCTGGAACTAACCAACCTCCCTCCCCCAAATTGTGCTCCCTTTCTGGACTGAACCAATGTAGATCTTACATGTATCAATTGATGCCTCACGTCTCCCTAAAATGTATAAAAGCAAGTTGTAGCCTGACCACCTTGGGCACATGTTCTCAGGATCTCCTGAGGGCTGTGTCACAGGCTGTTGGTCACTCATGTTTGGCTCAGAATAAATCTCTTCAAAATATTTTACAGAATCTGCCTCTTTTCATTGCCATAGACTTGATAGAGAAATTTTAAGAGTGGGTCTTTAGTCCTTAAAAAGCTCGATCTAGTAGAGACAACATTCCAAGGACCTGGTTAAGTGAGGCTGCTTGCCAGAGATACACTTTTTCCTTAGCCAAGTATAACATCTATTAGAGATAACCAGTGGTTCCATATGGTACTTGGTAACAGAGGCTGAGAGAGAATGGGTGTGGGGAGAGACAAGTGCTATAGGAGTACTTGATGATGCGGTAATCTTCCTTGAGTATTCTGCCATGACATTCAGTTTTTATATACGAGATCCAGGCACAGCCGTCACTGGGTATCCACGGGGAGTTGGTCCCACGACCTCCCACAGATATCAAAATCCAGAGATGCTCAAGTCCCTGATATAAAATGGCATCGAATTTGCCTATAACGTAAGAATATCCTCCTGTATACTTTAAATCATCACTAGATTACTTATAACACCCAATACAATATAAATGCTAGGTAAATCTTTGTTGTGTTGTTTAGGGAATAATGACAAGAAAAAGTCTGTAAATGTTTAGTCACAGACACATTTTTTTTTCAAATATTTTCTATTCATAGTTCTTTGAATCCACTGATGATGCACCCACAGATATGGAGGGCTGGCTGTATTTCATCAAATTTCAGTGTAAAGGATGACAGGGTAATGACTCACCCAGAAGATATTTTTATAGTTCCTCCTGTTTCCTTCCTTTGATGGATGAGGGAAATGCTGTCATACTCAGAAGTTGAGAGTGGGCAGTTAGTTGCCTCAGTAAATGGCCACTCCATCCTCCTATGGCTTAGGCCATAGTCTTGAGTTTGTCCTTTCTCCCAAATGCTATATCCAGTTCTGTTGGCATTTACATCAAAAATATACACAGGGCAATAGAAACGTTGCTGTCTTTGTTAGGGGTATGTTACATAGGTGTATGTATTTGTCAGAACACATCAAACTGTGCAGTAAAGATCTGTGCATTTCACTCTCTAAATTATAACTTAATTCATATGTGTAATGCATCCTAATATGTATAGTAATATACATTTTGTATTCAGAATATATAGCAATATGCGTTTATATATATACATATATATTTACTATATGTGTATTCACACATACATACATTTTATATATATATTTACATATATATACACGCACATATTTACTATGTGTGTATTCACACATACATACATAGCTAGTGTCCCATCACCATCTCTACTGCTCACACCCTGACCCGAGCCACCAATAGAACACCTCTCATCTGAATTGTTGCAGTTGTTTTCTGACTGTTCTTGCTTCTACCTCTGTCACCCCTGCAGTGTGTTCTTAGGAAGGATACTTCTTAAAACAGAAATCAGATCATGTCATTCCTTGGCTCAGAACCCTCCAGTGGCCTTCCATCTCCATGCTCAATTGAAGTCAAAGCCTGGCTGCCATGGAGGCCCCAGATTCCACTACCCCACCACTCCCACCACGCCTTCTGTGCCTCTGGGACCACATTCCCTACTAACCCTCTGGCTCACCAGCTTCCGGCCCACTAACCTCAAACATCAACTACATGAAGCTCTCCCTTCTAGGGGCCTTTGCATTTACTGTTGTTTCTCCCTGGAAGCTCTTCTCAGATATTTCTGTGACTTTCTCCCTTCACTTTCTTCAAGGTTTTAATCAATGTCACTTTATCAGTGGGGCCTTCCATGATTATCTGATCAAAACTTTTAAGTGCCTGCCATTCCCTTTCTGCACAAAGAGCTGGCACGGTATATAATTAAGAGGATGCGCTCTGCTGCCAGACTGTCTGACTTCACATCATTTTCTAGCTGTGTGACTTGGTGCCTCAGTTTGATCACTTTCTGTGCCTCAGTTTGATCACCAATAAAGTGGGGATAAGTATTGTGTCCTTAGGGTTATTGTAAGGATTAATTGAATTGATATATGAAAAGCACTAAAAACAGTGCCCGGTACAGAGTAAGCTAATGTTAATGTTATTCCTCTTGCTTGCTTCGTTATTTTTCCCATAACACTTATCAATCACCTTCTCACCTGCTATATATTTAAACTGTTTATTTTTTGTGGTTTCTTGCCGTTACAATGTATGCGCCATCAGAGCAACAACTTTTTACTTTTTTTCCTCTTCTATTTTCTTTCTTTTTCTTCACTACTGTACCTTCATCACTTAGAATAGTGCCTGATATGCAGTAGGTACTTAATAAATATTGTGTAATCAATGGGTGAATGAGAGAAGAGTCTGTGCACTTTCAGGAGGCTGTAGGATAAGGTAGGTTAGGGAAGGGGCTGGAAACATTTTCTGCAAAGAGCCAGATAGTAAATATTTTAGGCTTCGTGAGTTACAACTACTCAACTTTGCTGTTGTGGCATGAAAGCCACCATAGATGATACGTAAACGAATGAATGTGACTGTGTTCCAAAGAAACTTTATAAAAACAGGCAGTGGGCTAGATTTGACCATAGGTCATAGTTTGCCAACTCCTGGGTTGGGGAATAATTTTTGGCTTTACTTTCCTCCTTCTCATTACTCCTCCCTTCAGCCAGCAATTAGTGCTATTCACTCAGAACTGAAATATGAATAATTTGAAAAGCATTACATTACCCCTTAGTATTTGGCTCAGTATTCGTTAATTGTACAAATTTTCCATATGTCTCTTAATATTGTAATAGGAAATAACAATGTTAAGAATATATTTTGAAGTTTCAGGGCTCTGGTTTTCATTTCTCTTCTCCCACAGCCGAAAACTGGTAATTCTGGCCAGGAGCACGTATGCTATAAAGGAACAAGCAGTGTTGGCATTCCTCTTACTGTATGGCCAAGAGTGTAACTGACACCCAGTTGGAATAGAAACCAACAGAAATTACCTACAAGACAAACTGTTGAGTTTATAAGATTATTTATAAAAACTTATTCCTCCACAAAACTGTTTCCTTGCCCACAGTTTTTACCACTCTTCCCAATCGATTTTATGTGCTCACAAGTTCTTGCAGCTTTTTAATGCAGTGAGTTTTTGACCATGTGACAAACTGAAACTTTAACACAAAATATATAGCTTTTATTGTTGTAATTAAAGCAGACCTGAAATTAGACTCATTTTGCTGATATGATCCATTGTGATTAGACATATAAGCAGTCCAACTACGTGACTGCAACTGATGTGAATTTGACGCAACCAGAAATGGTTTTTGTGTCACCTCTTCTGAACTTAGCAGCCCATCCTTATTGTCGGTGCTAACAGTTTTCCACTTGCCGTTTAATTGTCTTCATCATTTTATATGTGTGGAAAGAGAACAGACCTGGACCATCCTCCCCATTTGTTGGGGTTTTCTTGCTCCCTGTGTTGCACCTTTTTACAGCTGTGGTCCAGGGCTGCAGTTTCCAATCAGAGTGTGATGTAACCTACTCCCAAGACACCTGGCCAGTTTGCCCCCCCAGAGCAGTGCTGCTCAAACCATCTCTTGGGAAAGACCATTTTGTTTTTCCATCATGAATTGATTCATTTTCTAAAATTCAATTTAAAAAGAAAATTGAGTTGCCAGCAGAATTATCACATAATTGGATATCACAGCAAGGCCAAGTTGCGATGTAATTTTTAAAACATTTATTCTCAATTTCTGTACTTACAGTAGACCGGTAACAGTTTGTGCACCAGCTCCAGTCCACAGACCATATTCTAAGCAATGCCACTTCAGTGGTTTTCACTCCAGTGGTTTTCAAACGTTTTTAACCCAGTATAAAGTATGCATTCGTAGGCTGTAAAACACATGAATGTGTAGACACCTGTGCAGACACACACACGCACATACTCTGAAACCACTGGAATGTCAGCCCCCTAAGGGCAGAGCTTCGCTTTTCTTGGTCTTTTTCACTGTTCTGCGTCTAATACCTGGCGCATAGGAGGCCCTCAATCAATATTTGTTGCAGGTATGTGTGTGTGTATGTGTGTGTCTGAATAATCAAATCAAAATTTTCACACGATAATGCTTAACCTTTACTCCTGATGAAATAGCCTTTTGTTGTCTATTTAATAAAAAGAAATACTGATTTTAGTCTAATAATTCTATTTCAGTACATTCTAATTTTAGGAGTCGTGACCCATGGTTTATAAAACATTCCTTTAGAAGGTGCTCATGTATAGGAATTTATTATTCTTTTCTTCTTCACAACTTTGAGTAGCTGTTGCTCACTCCTGTCTTCCTATGGGTATACATATCCCAGAACTGCTTATATCTAGGAAGCAGTCCATGTAGCCTGCATACATTAGGTTGGTAGGCCTGTGAAGGAAAATAGAGATAGATGAGTCTCCAGGTTTTAAAGAGTTAAAAAGAAGGGAAGAATGAGGTTAGAGTTAGAGTGGGTAGAGCAATAACAAGTTGAAACAGACCCGCTGATACTCCTCCATAATACTGGGGACTAAGTTTGCAAACTCTTAGGAATAATGTCATTCCAAAATAGTACAATGAATTTGATTCGCCTACATCTCAAAGAGCATGAAATTTCAGTTTTTAAGATTGTGGATAGCAAGGCTAATAATAATGATCGCATTTATCTAAATGTATCTTAAAATTTAAGGTCATGGCTCGGTGCAGTGTCTCACATCTGTAACCCCAGCACTTTGGGAAGCCAAGGGGGAAAGGATTGCTTGAGCTCAGGAGTGTGAGACCAGCCTGAGCTATATAGCGAGACCTGGCCTCTACTAAAAATAAAAATTTTAAAAATCAGCTGAGTATGGTCGCACCCACCTGTGGTCCCAGCTAGTGGGGAGGCTGAGGTGGGAGGATCACTTGAGCCCAGAAGGTCAAGGCTGCAGTGAGCCGCGATCATGCCACTGCACTCCATCCTGTGTGACAGAGCCAAGACCTTGTCTCAAAAAAAACAAAACAAACAAAAAAACAAGTAAAGGTCAAGATGTAGTTTTCTGGCTTATGCAGCTAAGAGGAAGGTGATATTATCAGCCAAAACAGGGCATATGGGAGCCAGGATACTTAAGACATCAGAGTGTGTGTGTGTTTGCGGAGCCACTGAGTCATAGCTGCACACAGCAAGCATTTGGTGTCCACCACACTAGAAGATGCGGAGCAGATAGCAGAAATACAGTCTGTTTTCAAGGAGCACACAGCTTCATCCAGGAGACAATCACTGTAAAATCAGGGCTGTCATGGAGGTGGCGGTCAGGCTGGCCTTGGAGGAAAGAATGCATGACCCACCTTGAAAAACATGTGTCCCAGGACAAAGAAGAGGGTCCAAGCAGTAGGGGGATCAGTGCATGTCATGGCACAGAGGTGAGAGGGCAGAAGTGTCTTCTAAGGAGGGCATGTCTTTGCAGTATGGTGGGAGGCCGGCAGTCCTGTACATAGTTTATGGTTTGGATTAGAAACTACCAAATGAGTGAGAGGCATATGTGGGAACAATATGGCTTTTAGACTCAAATCTCACTTATTCAGTGACCTTGAACAAATTCCTAACTCCTCCGTGTAGTCATAACAATAGCTAGTAAGAGTAGATATGGAGAATTGCAGCTTTCTTTCAACTTGTCACAACTTATCACAAGATCTTCAAATCTACTGACATTTAATACACATCAGTTTTTCAATAGCAGCAGCATCCTTTATTCGAGAAGTAAAAGATCTTGGCTTATTGTATGAAACTTTTCATCAACTCTCTTCTGGTTATTCCTAAGCATTAATAGCAGAGAGCCAGAAGGCTCATTTCCTTTTACCTCATCCTATTTTCCCTTGCTGCTTCATTTACTTGATTACTTACTAGCTTTGCCTCTTTGTATTTTGTGGCGTTTCATTTTAGTGAACAAGAGAAGTAACTTTTACTAATGTATTGTCATTAATACGCCCTCTTTTGTACTCTGCCTTACAATCCTCTGTGAGTGGCTGTTCCATTTCCTGAATAGCGTGTGCATGTGTGTGTTTGTATTTGTGAGGGTGGTTAAAGTAACAAGTGTTTTATTATTTGGTTTATAAATATTTGGTGAGCCCTTAGTATGCTTGAGGTTATGATAGAGAAATAAAATATCTAAGACAATATGTCATGGTTGAAGGTGTTGAAAATTTTGTGGTTTAAATACATGGATGAAAAAACTGAAACGTTTTATTATGGAAAGCTTCAAATATATAAAAATATAGATAGGATACCCAACTGGGTGCAGTGGCTCACACCTCTACTCCCAGTACTTTTGGAGGCTGAGGTGAGCAAATTGCTTGAGCCCAGGAGTTCAAGACCAGCCTGGGCAACATGGCGAAACCCTGTCTCTACAAAAATAAGCCAGGTGTGGTAGTCCCAGCTACTAGGGAGGCTGAGATGGGGGGATTGCTTGAGCCCAGAGAGGTTGAGGCTGCAGTGAGCCATGTTTGCGCCACTGCACTCCAGCCTGGGCGATAAAATGAGACTGTTTCAAAAAATATTTGTATAGATGGATAGAATAGTATAGTGTACCCCTACATACCACCACCCATTTTCAACAATTATCAACTTATGGCTAATCTTGTTTTATTAATATCTTTACCCTTATTTTATTCTATTTTATTTTAAAGCAAATTCCAAATGTTGTATCATTTTATCCATGAGTATTTTGTAACTTGTCTCTAAAAAATAAGGACTCAAAAAAGATAAGTATAATAGCATTATTAATAACCTTAGAATGACAGTAAGTCCTTAATATCAAATACACACTGTTCAAATTTCCAGTTATATCATCCATTCTATACTTATTTTACAGTTTTTTACAGTTTTTTTTTTTTTTTTTGGAGACAGAGTCTTGCTCTGTCGCCCAGGTTGGAGTGCAGTGGCACTCCAATCTCAGCCCACTGCAATCTCAGCCTCCCAGGTTCAAGTGATTCTCCTGCCTTAGCCTCCCGAGTAGCTGGGACTACAGGCACATACCACTATGCCCAGCTAATTTTTGTATTTTTAGTAGAGATAGAGTTTCCCCATGTTGGCCAGGCTGGTCTCGAACTCCTGACCTCAAGTGATCTGCCCGCCTTGGCCTCCCAAAGTGCTGGGATTACAGGGTGAGCCACTGCGCCTGGCCTTATTTTACAGTTTGAAGCCTCCTCAGGAGGGGCTAAGGTGGGAGGATCACTTAAGCCCAGGAGTTTGAGGCTAGCCTGGGCAATATAGCCAGACCCCATTTTTTAAAAAAAGTATTGTAACATTAGATATCGCCCCTGCTGCCAACATCCCCTACCTTTTCTGGTTTCGCCACCTCCCCTGCCCTTGTTTTGCCCTTTCCAAGTGATTCTGAATTAATTTTCTAGGGATGTTAGAGCAGATTGGTGGTGAGAAGGGCTAATAGATTGGGGAGGAAAAAAACATGTGATGACAGATACAGAGCAGAGAAACAGAAAACAAGGAGGGTTGTATTTAAGAATCTCTAAAATGTTGCACGCATAAGTACCTATAGTGGTTGAGGTTTAAAGGGAGAGGTTTTTTGAATTAAAACCTGAATGGCTTCTTCGGAGCTGTTATTTTTGGATGTAAAGTAAGAAGCTGAGGCGTGGGGAGAGGAATTCTGCCCTTATTTACCTTGTCAGCCAATTCCCACCTCATCTGGGCAGGGCTTGTTGTCCCAAGGAGGAAAGACAGGCCTCAGTGTGTGTGAGTCTAGTGATTGAGTGCGCCTCAGAGCCAGTGGGAGGGCTTGGAAAAACACCGATTGCTGGGCCTGCCTCTGGTGTTTCTGATTCAGTAGACCTAGGGTGGGGTCTAGGGATTTGCATTTCTTTTTTTTTTTGAGATGGAGTCTCACTCTATCGCCCAGGCTGGAGTGCAGTGGTGCGATCTTGGCTCACTGCAACCTCTGCCTCCTGGGTTCAAGCAATTCTCCTGCCTCAGCATCTCCAGTAGCTGGGACTACAGGCTCACACCACCACACCCAGCTAATTTTTTATTTTTAGTAGAGGTGGGATTTCACCATGTTGGCCAGGCTGGTCTCCGACTCCTGACCTCAAGTGGTCTGCCCACCTCAGCTTCCCAAAGTGCTGGGATTACAGGCGTGAGCCACCATGTCTGGCAGGATTTGCATTTCTTACTAGCTCACAGGTGATGCTGCTGTTCCAAACCACTGAACTAGTACCTGTTTCTCCCTTTAGATCTGGTTTGGGTTTTGTTTTAAATTAATTTTTATGAGTACATAGTAGGTATGTGCCTTTATGGGGTACATGAGATATTTTGATACAGGCATACATCACATAATAATCACATCAGGGTAAATGGGGTATCTATCACCTCAAGCATCTGTCATTTCTTTGTGTTACAGACATTCCAATTCTTTTAGTTATTTATAAATGTACAGTAAATTATTGTTGACAGTTGTCACCCTGTTGTGCTAGCAAATATGATGTCTCTGTTTTTAAGATAGTTTCTCTTTGCTGAGATTGTATTGCTGCACACATTGGCAATCATTGCGTAATTGATTAACCTTCTGAGACAGCTTCTTGGCAGAAAAAAAATAAAAAAACTAAACTGTTGAGAAAGGTATGAGTAATTTGTGTGAAAACATATTCTATTTTCATAATGACCACAGAATACTGTGGCGTTCTACCAGCATAGTCGAATGTATGTGAACATTCTCCCTTTCTCTGAAGATTCCTTCTTTCAAGTGTCTTAGTCTCAGTGAATTGTATCTATCTTGGGTAAGAAGTTCAGGGTTCTCTTTCAAGCCCAAGCATTTTACCTAAAGAAAGCTGAGAAAGCTAGGACAAATGTTATTCTCACAAAAATTTAAAAGAAACTTGCTAATTTTCTTATGGCCTTTCTTTTCTTCACAGGAAGACTGGGCAGTGAGCCTGACCTAAAACATCAGTTAGTCAGCAACCGTGCAAAAAATTATGGTGTCCTGCCAATGCTTTAGCCACCACATCCATGCCCGGAACTTTCCTTGATATTTTACCCCATTCAAATCTGCTCTAAATGGGTCCTGACCAAACTTGAAATATACCCTGAACATATTTCTGTTGGTTACCCACCCCCCGCCCCGGTTTAGTCTCTTACTATAATATTTGAATCTTATCCCCAAGAGCTTGCTTATCTAAAACTTTCCTACATTTATTTTTATTAAGCCATTGGAATAGGAAACCAGTAGCCCAAGAACTCCTGCAAACGGAGCTCATTTCTCTGTTTACATCACCCAACAAATAAGAGGCTTCTCCAGTT
The DNA here is from genome assembly GCF_000001405.40 of Homo sapiens. NCBI lineage: Eukaryota > Metazoa > Chordata > Mammalia > Primates > Hominidae > Homo > Homo sapiens. The sequence continues at coordinate 27,628,006 of NC_000012.12, forward strand.
TGAACTATGACTTTGAACCCCAGCTTCACTCCTTTGTTGTGGTAGTGATTAATGTATTTCCTGGTACCTTTTTCTTTAGCAAGTCATTCAAAGAAGCATATATTAGCCACTTAGAATCCAGAAATAAATTTGCTATTTTGTGAGAATTATTGGATGGTGAATTTTTTTGTTCTTTAGGATTTTTTTTCTTTACTTTTGAGACAGGTTCTTTATCACCCAGGCTAGAGTGCAGTGGCACAATCACAGCTCACTGCAGCCTTGGGCTCCTGGGCTCAAGTGATCCACCTCAGCCTCCTGAGCAGCTGGAACTACAGGCACATGCCACCACACCCAGCATATTTTGTACAATTTTTTGTAGAGACAGGGTCTCACTATGTGGCCCAGGCTTGTCTCAAACTCCTGGGCTCTAGCGACCCTCCTGCCTTGGCCTCCCAAAGTAGTGGGATTACAGGTGTGAGTCACTGTGCTTGGCCTTGGATGGTGAAGTTGTAATTTTCTAAGGGGTTTTGTCCACCCAAAGAACTCAACTATAACTAGCAGATTTCTGGGTAAGCAAAGAATGGGAAGAAATGGAGCTGGATATTCTGAGCCTTTTATTTTGGACCATAGGTTCATATAATTGGATTATTCATGATCCTTGATTCATGACATATTATCATCATAGTCTTAGATGCAGAGGTCCATGCATGTCCAACTTCATTCATTATTTAGTTCTTTTTTAAAGTGGAATTTTTATTTCTAATTTCTAACAACCAACTTCTCTTTCCTAATTTTTCAAATACCAAAGTTTTATTTGGAAAGTGATCCTAGGAAAGACTTAGAGAAATAAAGAAGAGAACTGATAAATCATGCATTATCAAACAAGTTACCACTCTGAGTAGATCTTAATTGTCTGGATAATTCTGGGAACCAATGTAGATTACATGAATCAGAATTTGCTCTTTCTAGGGGGAAAGTGTGCTGGAGTATTTAAAGCTGATAACTTTAAATATTAAAGGGACATTAATTCTCTAGCATTTTCAGACCACCACATCCAATGGCAGAGGGCTCCCTGAAATCTTGGACAGTTAAAAGTTGGGCTGGCATGCATGGAATTACAGAGGGCACCAATTACATCTGCCTCAGTTAGAAGCTAAACGGTATTATTAATTCATCTGTTTCAAAGGCATTCCCAATTAAATTAGTTCTAAATGAATTTTATGCTTTCAACATTTAGCCAACAATGAGTGGTTCCTTCCCAGTTAAAATAAAGAACTTAAATGGGATTGACATTGGGATTCTTTATGCCTGACAAGCTTTAAAGACCATTGCATAGTTTGATGAGTTTTGGCAAATGTATAAACTTGTGTAACCTATATCTCAATCAAGATACTGACCAGAAATTCCACTGGTGTCTCCTTTCAGTCACTCACCATTTTCTGTAAGTAATTATTGCTCTACCTTCTATCGTAGGTTACCTGTTCTTGAATTTCATATAAAAGTATCATACAGTACATGGTCCTTTCTGTCTGGCTTCTTTTGCCCAACATAATGTTGCATGTATTATTTGTTCCATCTCTCTACTGTAGAATAATATTCCATTGTATTAGAATAATATTTCATTATATTAATTATGTGAGGAAGCCCAGGGAATCTTCCTCTCAGAAATATTTATGAGGACTTAAGAAAGTCTTTTTAGAGACCAGGGGATTTTCTAAAGCTTTTTTATTTAGCCTTTTCATTTTTAAAAATACGTTGACCTAGCCCTGAAAATTAACATAGCTTTGTCAACACAGATGCCTGATAAATTAGGCTGCCTCTAAAATAGCTCAAACCATGGGCAAGGCAGAATTTTAATAAATATGGATGGTCTATTCTTAGTACTTCACCACTTCAGGTTGTGTGTTTCTTACTCTTCTGTGTAGTTCTTTAAAACCCATTTGAAATTTATCGAAACTGATTCTGTGGCCTTGCATATATGCCTTATCCTGGTGAATATAACTTGTAGACTTGAATGTATATTCTGCATTTGTGTGTTTTGTTCTATAAATTGAATTTGATCAAGATGGTTGATAATATTTTCAAATCTTGTGTGTTACTGAGTTTTTTTTCCTACCTTACCTGTCAATTCTAAAGAAGGTTGTAAAAGAACAAATGATAGATGGGACAAACAGAAAAGAAATAGCAGGACAATAGACTTAAATCCAACCTTATCAGTAGATTTAAATCCAACCAGGTCAACCATATCTATATTATGTTAAATATAAGTGGATTAAATTTGTCTAATTCTCCCTTAACACCATCAGTTTTTGCTTCATGTATTTGGAAGCTTTGTTATTAGTTGCAAAAACATTTGTGCTTGTTATGACTTCCTGATGAATTAACACTTATCATTGTAAAATATCTTTCTTTCTAGTCATACTTCCTGATGTGTAGTTTTTAAATAAACCCGCTCCTGCTTTCCTGTGCTTACATATGTATGTTATCTCATTTTTCATCCTTTTACTATTATATTTCTTTATATTTAAAGTCTCTATTAACAGCACATAATTAGGACTTAAAAAACTAATCTGATGATCTCTGGCTCTTATCAGCGTTTACTGCATTTGTACTTAATGTAATTTTAAAAATGTTATTTTAAAAAATTGTTATATTTCAGTAGCTTTAGGGGTACAAGTGGTTTTCAGTTACATGATGAATTGTATAGCGGAAGTCTGGGATTTTAGTGCTTCTGTCACCTGAATAGTGTACATTGTACCTATTTTCATCCTCACCTCCCTCTCACTCTTCCTGCTTCTGAGTCTCTGCTGTTATATACCACTTTGTATGCCTTTGCATACCCATGGCTTACTCCAACTTACACAACACTTAATACGATTATTTATATGCTTCAGTTTAAGTCTACCACTTTGGCTATTGATTTTTCTTTCTCCTATGTGTCCATTGTTCCTTCATTACTGCCTTTGGATTTAATAAAATCGTGGCTGAGTCTGCAGGGTTGTAGGAGCCCAGGAATTCAAGACCAGTCAACTGGCAACATAGTGAGACCTTGTCTCAAAAAACAAACAAAAAGTAAAGGTTCTATGAATTCATATTCTCCACAACACTTGGCTATGTCAATTTTTTTCACTAATTGGTTATAAAACATTATCACATTCCTTTATACTCCTCATTTATTACTGATACTAAGCAGCTTTTCATATTTTTATTGGTTGAAAACATTTCTGCCAAATGATTGTTCATATCCTCATGCCTCCTATTTTTTCATTGATTTCTAGGAATTCTACACTTGGAATACCACTGAACTGGACGATTTTGATTTGACTACTTTTAACTTATTAGAGAAGTCTTTGGCCTTTGATTCTAATGCCAGTCCCTGGCTACCTGTTTAATTTGCAAAGCCTTCCAAATTGGACCCCCTTATCCTACTCCATTTTTCCCCTTAGCACCTACCACCTTCGCCATGTTACATATGTGTTTATTACTTGTATGTACTGTCTTTCCCTGACTAGTACATGTAGGCTGCTACATGATATAGAGATTAAAAGTTAACGTTTTGAACTTTCATAGCAATTTAACATTGTCATCATATTTTTATTAAATGAAGGGATTCGTCTCCAATGAATTGGAAATTTTTAAAGAACTAGTTCTTCACTACTTTGAAAAGCATGGTCTAGATTGTCTCATACCTTCATATAATAGCATTTGAAAGGCTCATTAAATAGAACAGAGAAGAACTCGGTAACTATTGTACCTATCGGACTTGAACTGTTTATGCTCTACACAAAATATAGTTGCTAACAAAGACGAATATTTTTTTCTAATTTAGTGAGATGATATGTTTTTCTAACATGGGCATTACTTTGTGTTATTGGTATTCCCATGTTTATAGCTGAGCCTGGTATGTGTCTCTTTGTTTTATATAGACACATATATAAGTGGTTATTAAATATGTGTCCTGCTTCTTTGGATGGTGCACTGGCTGAGTGTGTGAATAAATTTTTTGGAATGACCTAGGTTCATAACCTAACTTGTTGATTCCTTGTTTCCTGGGTAACCATAGACACATACCTTGAGTATTTTCATGCTGTAGTATTTCCAGATAAATGGTAGTGATATTTTTCACCTTTGGAAGTGAGTAAAGTTCTGGAAAATCCTTAGGTGAAATGACTTTAAATCAAAATAATATTTTACAACAATTATATGGCATTATGTTAGAATGAATGCATAATTGGGAACTCATCCAAGGAGTTGATACCGGAACTATAAATATATTTGTGAAAATAAAGTGGTGAGATTTGGCTGCTTGGAAACAGAGGGCAAAGGTTTCTGGGAAACAGCATGCCCTTTATTTCCCAGGTATTTGCTCTATCACAGTATCTATAACATAGTAAGAGCTTTATTCGGGTCTATTGGGAGAATCTACTGGGTGCTTAGTCTGGTACCTGAAATGCATTAATGAATGCTGAAAATCACATTATCTTGACTTTTTCCTGCCAATGACCAAAGTTTTTGCAAGCATTATCTCAATATATCTTTTAACAGATAAACCAATGAGTAGATTGTGATGTAATTTCAGGATAAACCCATCTTCAGATAGGATCAGGTAAACAGAAATTATGTATTATAGTGGAAGTTAGACAGACCTAGGTTAGAAACTGAACTTCGCTATATTTACTTTGCTGTGTTTCCATGCAAAAATCAAACATCTTTTATCCTCATTTATAAAATGGAGATGAATTTACACATTTTATAGAGCTGTTGACTAAGGATTATGGATAATTTATGTAAATGTGTAGGAAACACTATAGGCACTCAATATGTGATAGCTATGGCTCCACTACAAAATGTTTAGTATCAGTAGGGGTGTATGTGTGTGTTTGTGTGTGTGTGCACATACATTTAGTATATGTGTTAGTGAATCCTTTTCTTAGACAAATCTTAAGCCCTTGTACAGAAAGAAAAAACAAAAACAAACAAAAATAAATGAAATTAAGAGAGCAGAGATTGGGTGGGGCTGGTAAAGGGAGAAAGGAGTCTTGTCTGGCCAGTGCTTGTCATGGCCCTCAGCAAGCTTCCATGGCCATCCCTGTTGCCCTTTACAGAGGCCTAGAGTTCTAGAGAACAGCATGGAAACCATGCTAGTGGATTTTAAACACCTCAAGTGCAAGAATGGAATCTTCTTTATTAACTGATACAGGTATCGCATGTGGTCTTGTGCTACAGTAGGTGATTGGCCACAGCTTGCTACTCCACTACTGAAGTTCTTCTTCCATATTTGACTACACAGCAGAGTTATCATTTGAAGGTGAATTAGAAACCCACTAGCAAGCCTATGTCATTTAATGGATGTAATGATAACCTTATTTTTTTTCAGATCTGGGTTGGAATTTGCCCCTGACAAATAATAAAATGATGAGTGATGCAAGTGACATGTTGGCTGCAGCGTTGGAGCAGATGGATGGTATCATAGCAGGTGATCTGCATCCTGTGAAAGACAGAATCACAACATTTACTCTCCTCACTTGGCTTTTTCACTACAACTTTCATATTATCTTTTCACTTTATTTTCATTTTTTAGACCTATGCCTTTTGCTTCCCTGTAATTTCATCTTTGTTCCTCTTCTCCATTTTCTGCCAGCATTATTCTCAAACATTATTTTAAAGTATCAAAAATTTCAGTTCCATCCTAGGTTTCTAATCAAGGATAAAGAATCTGCATCTCAGGTGATTCTGGTGTAGGTGGTCTGTGGACCATACTTTGAGGGACACTTCTCTACCCAGTGAACATGAATGTTCTGATCTGTTTTCTTGAATTCAAAATTCACTTTCCACCAATGACTCCCGTATCTTTTTTTTTTTTTTTTTTTTGAGATGGAGTCTCTCTCTGTTGCCCAGGCTGGAGTGCAGTGGTACAATCTCAGCTCACTGCAACCTCCGCCTCCTGGGTTCAAGCAGTTCTCTGCCTCAGCCTCCCAAGTAGCTGGGATTACAGGCACCCACCACCACGCCTGGCTAATTTTTGTATTTTTAGTAGAGACAGGGTTTCACCATCTTGGCCAGGCTGGTCTTAAACTCCTGACCTCGTGATCCACTCATGTCGGCCTCCCAAAGTGCTGGGATTACAGGCGTGAGCCACCGTACCCGGCCATATCTTTTTTTTTTTTTTTTTTTTTTTAAGAGAGGAAGTCTTGCTATGTTTCTCAAGCTGAAGTGTAGTGGCTATTTACAGGCATGATTACCTGTGAATAACATGCATAGTGCAGCCTTGAAATGCTGTGCTCAAGCAATCTTCACACCTCAAGTACCTGCGATTACAGGCACACGCCACTGCACTTAGCTCGTTCGCATGTGTTTACCTTCCCAATTCTTTGCTAAGCTTCCAGTTCCTATCTCTAATTTCCAACCAGATATCTGTCCAGAAATGTCCTATGGGCACACCAGTATAATCATTTAATGCATTGAGCTCATTATCTTTCCTCAGAATTTACTCTGATAGTCTTCATCTGGGTTCATTTCATAACCCTTCATCCACAGTTTTTCTAAGCCAGAAATCATTTGGTCCAATATTGGTCCGGAATGGACCAGGTCTAATATTTGTATTTTCTGATCTGCCACTTTCTTATCCATCATCTTCATGAGGCCAGCACACCTCACACCAAAGCCCACCAGGCTCTTTTTCTTTCTATACCCCATGATTGGCCTCCTAGTTACGAACTGGACCATGGATATTTACCACTAACTACATGGTTTTAATTTTTGCACCATGTAACTCTGACTTGGAGAGATTTATGTGATTGAATTCTCTTTTTTCTGTTTCTTTTGATTGTTCCTTACTGTGACTAGACTGGTTTACCGCCTTCGGCTTTGGTATTTTTATCTAACATAAATCCCATTGCTCTCTCTGTGATTTTGTTTAACTTAGGTTCTAAGGCTCTGGAATATTCCAATGGGATTTTTGATTGCCAATCTCCCACCTCTCCATTCATGGGAAGTTTGCGAGCTCTGCACCTTGTGGAAGACCTGCGTGGATTGTTAGAGATGATGGAAACAGATGAGAAAGAAGGCTTGAGATGCCAGATCCCAGATTCAACAGCAGAAACGCTTGTTGAATGGCTTCAGAGTCAAATGGTAGGGTCTGCCTGTTCCAAATTCTGTTATAAATCCTTTGTTGCTTATTCCAAAATTTAGAACATAGAATAGCTGATTAGAACAAGAAAAGTTTAGGGCAACACATGTGCTCCGATTTTATTACTTAAGATATCTTAATTTTCTTTTGACTCTAAGGATAACTTTTTAAAAAGTGCTATTAGTGTACATTTTGTAAATACCAACAACAGGTCACCTGATTCTGCCCATAAAAACAGACTGGCTTTTAGATTGTGCCTGAATGACCTACTGTGGCTTAAATCAAATAGTCCTGTAAGGGAAAGAATCTTGCACATGATAGATGATTTCTCAGTCATATTGGGTTATTCACCATAAAGGATCCAATAGCAATTCTAAATGGAAAGCATGATGAAAGACTTTCAAAAAGCAACAGGATTTACAGCAGTATTTGACCGGAAGTGCCATCTAGTGGTTTATGGCAATCATTTCAGTTCCAGTTCCCGAATTAAATTGTGGAGTTGGGCCTTTAACCCATTTATGCGCAGTGTTCCATTATTGGAACGCTAAGCTTGTGGGAGTTATTTATATCCTGCTCAAAGTCATCGCCAAGGTCTCATTTAAAAAAAAAAAATCACAACCTCCAGCATAAATGGGTTAATGGTGTTACTCACTGAACAATGAGGCCGCTTTCTAGGCATCCTTCTCAAAAATTGAAGATGTGGCAGAGCTACCCTTTGTCTGGGCACGGTTGGAAATACTGTGGTTTTAATCTGTGATGAATACATAAAATCTAAAGAATGTCACAAAAACAGATTCAGTGGAGGACAGAGGAAAGGAGATATTTTGTGCTTAAAGGATATTCAATTTTCAGTAAGATGCACTCATATGCTTATGAGTTAACTGTGTTGATATAAAAGCTAATAAGAATTGTATGAAAGAATCGTGATCTACTTTATGATCTGTGGTAGACATGAAAACCGCTTGCTTTGGGAACCTTAAGAGTACATCCTACAGCTAAAACATTTTCATATGATGTGACACAAATATTAGAGCTCCCAGCCAGTCCTGTGCTGAATACTCTGTGTTCCCACCTGGTTTACCTCTGCGTTTCTGAGAGCGAATAGTACAATCTATCCTTTAGTGGGGGTGCAGCTACACAAACTGGAGTTATTTTACTTGTTAAAACACATAATGCCTTACTATTATACTTTCTATTTGCTCTACAGATTTCTCCTCCAGAGACTTAAGGGTCCAGGTTTGCTGATTTCTTTGGGGATTGCTTCATGCTCTGTACTTGGTGTTTCCTGACATATTCCTTAGTCTATTTCAATGTCCTATCTCACCCCTTCTTTACTCCATGTTCTTCTGACCATTTAGCATGCAGTGAAAAAGGAATTTACTATTGTTAGAAGAACGTATTTCTATCCCACACCCAGAGGCCACCAATGGCAATAGTAGCCGAAGCGTACCTGTAGTTCAGCTTTTGACATGTGTCTAAAACATGTCCATTAACATGTGCTTAATCTGTTCTGTGAAAGTATTTTCAGAAATGATAAAAAGTAATGATGGTTACATCTGAATATAAGTTAGATCATGACACTCACTCCTTTTTTCAGAAACTACCAGTGGCATCACATCTTACTCAGAGTAAAAACCACAGTGCTTACTGTGGGCTGCAAGGCCTCGTAGGATTTGCCCCCCATGACTTTCTGACTTCATCTCTTGTCACACATCTCCTTATTCGCTCCACGCCAAGCACAGTGGCTTTTTCACTGATTCTTAAACATGCCAGGTACACTGGCCTCAGAGCCTTTGCACTGGCTTTTCCAGGCACTGGCTTTTCACTCTGCCTGGAAAGCTCTTTCGCCAGATATTTGCATGGCTAGCTCCCTCACATTCTCCTGGTGTTTACTCAAAAGTCATGCTCTCAGTGAGGCCTTGTATCACCACCCTAACTAAAATTATACCCATTTATTCCTTGTCTTACATCTCCCTGCTTATTTTGTTCTTAGCATTCACCATTTTCTTATGTGCAATGTGTTTGTGATGTTTATATCATTTATTTTCTGTCTTTCCAATTGGAATGTAAGCATCAGGAATCAGATTTTTGCCCTTATTTTAAAAAAATTACTGTATCCCTGGTGCTTAGAAGAATGCCTGGCTCAGTAGTTATATTTGTAATGAATGATGCTCCATGAATGATAAAGTGGATTGCATGTTTGAATGAATGGAAGTTGTTTTAAATTTATTCTTTGGATGGGTAATGGCTTGTTGATCTGTGTTTTCAGTTGCTTTGTGTCTTATTATTTGACATTTTAACCTTGAGAATCCACAAAATGACAAATATTTTACAGAACTAATGAAGATTCCGTTTTTATCCTAAAAGTAACAATAACAAAATAAACTAGATGTAGATCCAGAGAGATAAGGAATTTTTGTTGTTGTTGCTAAATTTATTTTTATCCATCTAACTTATCTATATGAATTCCTCACCTTGCCCCCAACCTTCCAAATTAAGTGTGTTTTCTCAAGCACACAGAGAATGACAGGATGAAAGAAGAAAGACAGCAAAAGGCAAAAAACAAAGCAAGAAGAAGAGAGGAGGGCTGGCTGTTTGGAACCACAAAAGCATAGGTGTGAAATTAAGTTGTCACCACACACCTACCACGATAGACTTTATTTTAGAACCAAAAAGCAACTTGGGCCAGCATTGGGAATCCAACAAGTAGAAGATTATATACTTATAATTTAGTAATTTGCTGATAATATTAAATTTTTCCAATTTAATATTTCAGAAGTTGGGATGTGTTTTATGATCTTAAAATGGGTATATGTATACATTTTAGCTCGGATCCTTCCTCCCTTCCTCTCTCCCTTCTTTCCTTTTTTTATTAATAAGGTACTTAGAATAGTCAAATTTTAGAGACAGAAAGTAGAAGGGTGACTGCCAGGAGCTGAGGGGAGTGGGGAATGGGAAGATAATACTTACTGCACATAGAATTTCAGTTTTGCTAGATGAAAAGAGTTAATTAGATGGATGATGGTGATGGCTGCAAAACAATGTAAATGTACTTACTACCACTGAACTGTACACTTTAAAATGGTTAAAATGCTAAATTTTACATATATATTTTACCACAATAAAAAATTAAAATTGATAGCATCCTAGAATTTAAGGAACACAGAATCCTAGCAAATTCCCCCTTCATATTGAACATGGGAAAACTGCCCAAATAAAAGAGATTATGATGTTTTAAAAAAGGAAGCAGTGAATGATAAGGCAGGATTGTATCTAGGCAGTTTCAAATGCAGGCTGCAGTGACTGCAGACCTGAATTTTAATGTTGGCCCTAAGTCTTTGAAGCTTATATGACCTTGTGAAAATGTCTGAAGCTCTGTGTCTTGGTTTTCTGGTCTGTAAAATGGGGATGATGGTTACTGCCACTTAGGATTGTAAGGACCCTGTGAACTAACATATGCTGAGCACTTATTGATATGCCTGGTCAAAGGCTTGTCAGAAAGGTAATACTGAAGAGCAGAGCATAGAGAGTAGAGGGAAAATGTTTAAGAGCAACCCTTTGCAATGAGGGAAGGAGTTGGGTCCAGTTGCAATGGGAGTTAGGTTACAAACCACCCATACATAGTTCACTTCTTGCAATGAAAGAGTACAAACATTCCTCTGACTGAAGAGAAGCTTCTGGGATATTTTAGAAAAACTTAAATTCAAAAATTTTTGGAAATAATTATGTATCTGTTAATAATAACAGACATATAATTAAGGTTCCATTCATGTTTAATGATGGCCAACTTGAGAGGCCCTGTACTTTAAGATGGATACTAACCTTTTCATTAGTGCAACTGGGCATTTGCAGTTGGAATTATCATTTTACCTGGGCCAGGGAGATCCCCTGGTTTCTTGTAGGATGCAGGTTATTTCTTTGCTGCTAATTGCTCCTGCCTGTTTGTTTCATATGATCAGACACTGAATGTGATAAAATACCAACACTAGTAGCCTGTTACAGTGAGGGGACATTAAATCTATAAGAATGAATTTATTAGTGTAGCTCTAGGCTTCTGGAAATGAACAAATTTCTTTTAAAATTCAGAAGTGCGTCTCCTGTGGTTAAAAAAAACTGTAGACTATGACATATTTGTTTAATTACTGAGGGTGAATTTTCTGTTTCAATTATGAAATATAATGTGTTAACACAGATATTAATAATGGAGAATTACTTGCTTTATGAAGCTCCAGATTTAAGAAGGAAAATGGAAAAATACGTCTAATTGTTTGAGTTAAGCAAGTAGTTACTTACTTTAGGTCTAACTTGATGAGTTGCCCTAGAACATTCTTATAATGTTTTTTTAACTGAGGATCATGACCTTGATCCATGTCAACAGAGGATCAGGTGGTGAAATCCCGAAGGTGTCTGGCTATTTGGCAGTTTTAATTATGAGGCCATCTCAAAGTCAGCAGAAATTACAAAAATACAATTTTCAACAAAGTGAGTGAAATACTAATGGTGAATACTAATGGTAGTAACGCCAAAGCAGGCATCATCACCCATGAGATAGGTAAACAGGTGAAGTGAGGTGTTCTGGACTGGCTTCTGACCTGTTAAATCATCATAATACCCTTCTCTCTTATTTTTACATTAAAAGTGAGATAATATTAATCCCAAATGTATATTTTTAAAAGTTGCTATAAAAATAAAAATACTCATAACTTAAAAGAGTTCAGCCACGGGACATGCTCTCTGCAGGGCTGCTGGCTGTTCTTCCTGAGTCCCTGACTCCCAGCCCCACGAAGCAGTCCCCGTCCTACCACCCTCCGATCCCTGCTGCTTTCTGACCAGCTTTGCTTTTCATCTGTGCCTCCAGGAAATGTTTTCTCAGGCCTTGGCAAACAAGGTACATCTTAAGATTGTATCCCATATGTGATCACAATTATCTGAGTTATGCGGTGCCTCACTGAGACATCCTAGCTAAAATTAAGGCAGTTTTCCCCTTAGTCTTCAAGTAAACTCCCACAGAAAGTGTTCACAGACACAGAAAAACAAATTGATCAAATCGGCAGAATTCTTAGTTTACAGAGGTAAAAGATGTGCTTTTCATGGAATCCTAGGCCACTGGTATTTGTTAGGACTGAAGGGAAAGAGGTTTCCCTGTTCCTTTGGGAAAGTGAGTTAAGAAAGAAAATGTGACAAGAACAATAGGGACTTTTTCTTGGTCTCATGTTATCCTTCCCAAAGTGGAAGAGAGATTCCTCCTCTAGATCTTCGTATCCTGTCACACATTGCTGGCTTTCAACAAATATTGAATAAATGAGTGAATCACGATATTGAATGAATGAAGTTGCTGCTATACTGAGATAGGAGCTGGGGCTTCGCTTTTAGGAACACTGGGAACTTCTTTTTTCTCTGTCCTCCCCAAATTCAGGGGACTTAGGTGTGTACCTATGACTAGGGTAATATTATAGTCTAAACATGTACCCGCCCCCCACCCCCGGGTTGCCCACTGCGAAGCTCATGCCCTCATTCCACCACACCCAGTGAGAGGACAGGGGAGCGGAGTACTGCCACTGCCTGGTTGCTTGGTTTCCAGCATCACTGATATCATGTTCTTTGACTCTTTGGACAGTAGTGGTGTAAGATGCCTTATTATGGTATTGAACTCAAATGCAATATGACTGTGCTCTTCATGGCTGAAAGATTCAAGTCTTATCTCAATCTCTCCTCATAGTTCAGAGTCTAGTGGAGAGCAGGCATGCAGGAAATGTTTGCATGCGTGGCAGAGGTATAATTCTGAGTACAAAATGCTGTCATAGTAATTATTTCTTTTGGTAACTAGAGATAATGTTTACTTAAAGGAGATTTCATGGACTGAGCCTTACTCTTCCTTTCTTGATCCTGAATGTTTAAAAACAGAGTTATGAAATCAAGACTGCGTGACAATTTTAATAACTAGTTTTAAAAATAAGTATAATGACTGGCTGGAATGTGGTGTGTGCGTGTATTTGTGTATATGCAGTGTTACTAATCCAGCTATGCTTTAACATTTGTTGACCTTAAAAAGGGGGCTGTTTTCTTTTCCCCATTTTAATTTAGATACTTACCATTCTGATTTAGGAATCTTACACTCAAAATTAGTTTCTGTTTTATAAAATAAATAAGCATTATTGTGGCAAATCACTGCTTGTATGTTGATTTTGGATTTAGACAGGACAGCAGAGCTCAGGAAAGAACAAAGCAAAACAAAGGGGAAACAGGAAAGACAACTGTAGACCAATGCAAACCAATAGAACCCAGAAAATCAAAGGAAAACACAGCATGATGTTATAAGTAAAAACAGTGGGTGAGACTCCTACCTTCCGTGAAGTAATAACTATTGAAATGGAATGGCAAGTGCATGGGGTTTCATCACGTGCATTTCTCTACTTTAAATCTATTTGAAATTTTCTGTAATAAAAAACATTTTTTAAACAGACACAAAGGAAAGATGTTAACATTTATTATGTCTTTATGCTTGATTGTAATACTTCATAATTAAAAGGAAGTTGATATAAAAAGAAGGCTTTCTAGCTGGGGAAGGTGACCACACCCACCTCTAAATACGGGGCTTGTAACTGAGCTCACACCCGACCAATCAGGTAGTAAAGAGAGCTCACTAAAATACCAATTAGGCTAAAAGCAGGAGGTAAAGAAATAATCAAATCATCTATCACCTGAGAACACAGGGGGCGGGACAATGATCGGGATATAAACCAGGCATTCGAACTGGCAGTGGCAACCCCCTTTGGGTCCCCTCCCGTTGTATGGGAGCTCTGTTTTCACTATATTAAATCTTGCAACTGCAAAAATAAATAAATAAATAAATAAATAAATAAATAAATAGAAGGCTTTCCACTTAGATGGTGAAGGGAAAAGTAGATGGTGTTCTAATGTTATGTGTAGCACCTGCCATGTAGAGTCAGGGAATTCGTTTTCCGGGTGAGGTTCCTGGCTAGCTCTAAGATTCTGTAATTCTATGAGGGATAAAGCGTTTTAGATGTGTTTCTCCCCATTGTGCCAGGAAAACCTGGCAGAGGCCATAAGTTCCTTAATTAAATCAAAGTACCAATGTTACAGTTGAGTTATATCTCCCCCACTGACTCTGCATACACACTATTGGTTGGATACTGTACTGTTGAAGTCCCCAAGTTGACTCCAATTTCGACTTAGCTGGATTGAATGCGGTCAATAAGGGGTTGCACCATGAGCTAAAGTAGAAAGGTAAAGTGATTTAGGCTTCTCTAATATGCTGTGGAAGTCAGATCGACTCAACAAGAGTTTATACTTAAATACATTTTAAGTTACGTGCTCAGGATTTTACAAGCACCATGGAAGAATCAAAAGAAACGTAAGACAGTTTTGCACTGAGAAACTTAGGCTGAGTGACCAACTCACATAAAATTATTAGTCATCTACCTGAGGCAGAATATGATGAAACACTAAAGAGCACAGTTTAAGACAAGACCCAGAAGGTCAGCCCGTAGATGGGGAAAGGAGAATGGCACCATGTAAAGAGGAGGTAGACATGGGTTATGAAAGACAGATTGATCTGAGAGGGAGGAGTGGGAGGTGAGTGGAGTGTTGGGTACAAAACCTTGGGATAGTTGTTGTAAAGGAAAATGGAAGAAAGCTCATTAAAAGGAAGAAATGGAAAATGATAAGTAGAAGTGGTGATTACAGGTCCCAGCAAAACAGGAAATCAAGGTTCCAAAGTAGAAGTGGAATGATGAGCTTTCAGGAAGGAGTTAAGAATCAGTTCTCCCAAGCCTGCAGGACGAAAGAAAGGAAAGAAATAAGAGGTAATATATATTATACTATTACGCACTGAGGAAGAAGGTGTCTAAGGGAGCTCACACAAGATGGCCTTAACTATTGTCCATTACAAAGGCTCTGAGATCAGGCGGTCGGTTAGCTCAGTTGGTTAGAGCGTGGTGCTGACAAAGGCTCTGAGATCACCTCCTAAACATAGTGGGAAGAGAGAGTACAGGAGGAAAAAGGAGCCAGTCTAGATAGAGGTCAACCATGGCGTGCATACCAGATTATAGAGGACACATAAATAAAGACCCACTGAGAAGCAAGAAGGGCAGATCAAAACCAAACCTGCAGTCATCTTGTATTCAACTAGTGTTTATTGAACACCTATCGTCATTCTTCCATTCAACAGACATTTAGTTATCGCCCACTGTATGTCACATGCCAAGGCAAATCTACTTGCAAAGAATGCAGAGTCTATTAGAAGAGAGAGACATGTATGCAGTCAAGTCTAACCTTAGTGCATTCAGAGTAATGCCTGCTGTAATGAAGGTTCATGTAGATACTGTCGCTGGCATATAGCAAACAGTGAATTCAAGGAAGACCTCACAGACCAAGCCCTGATAGAGGTGGACCTTAAGGAATGGGGAAAGAAGAAGAAAGGGTGGGAAAAGACGGTCCGTGCAGAAGGAATAAAAGTAGTGTGTGAAAGAGCATGCCATATATGGGGAGGTTTTGAGTGACCTGGTAGGTAGAACGTGGGAGTTGAAGGAAGAATAGAGACAATAGGGTATTTACCTAATGGATCTTACTGCCAACATTCTTAATGCAAAGGAAACAAAATTGGCAGAAATATAAACACAGGTGGACAGAACAGTCTTTACCTACTTAAGTTAACACAAGGATATAACATTGATCACTCTTAAATTCTGCCTTATGTTCCTATAGTGACTTTTAATATACTAAACTACCCTTGAGCATTATGAGTGCTTGTAAATATCAATACAGTACTGAGAAAAATAAATATGCTAATTTTGAGCCAATTTTCAGTATCTGTTTCTATTTGGGGCTAATTTTGGAGAACTGGTTTTGGAACACCTCACTTCCATATCATACAAAGTAGCTTGGGAGGAAACATTGCTCTCATCTTGCTATAATTTCCTCCAACCAGAAGAAAGATCAGTTTGTTTGTTTGTTTTCTTAAGACAGAGTCTTGCTTTGTTGCCCAGCCTGGAGTGCAGTGGCGCAAACATGGCTGACTGTAGCCTCCACCTCCTGGGCTCAAGTGATCCCCCTCCCTCAGTCTCCAGAGTAACTAGGACCACAGGCGCACACCACCAAGCTTGGCTAAGTTTTTTTTTTTTTTTTTTTTTTTTTAAGAGATAGGGTCTTGCCATGTTGCCTATGCTGGCCTCAAACTTCTGGGCTCACACAATTCTCAGCCTCCCGAAGTGCTGGAATTACAGGTATGCACCACCACCCTTGGCCAGTTTTACTTTTTGTCCTCACTAAACAGCAGTTTTTTTCTACTTACTGAAATGTATCTGTTTCCAAACTATTGTTACTTGTATGGGATTTTAAAAACAGATGGCTGTTAATGTCCATAATCAAAATAAGGAATTTAAAGCTCTACAGGGCCTGTCTTGGCACTTTCTTAAGATTGAGAACATGCGTTATTCATCCTGGCTCTTTTCCAAAAAACTGCCCTTGAGAAGTTGTGCACAATTTATTTTTATGTTAGTCCCCAGGAATGGAAGTTGTCCAGGCCACTCCATCACACTCTTCATAATACTTGTAATTTAATGCTGGGCACTTCAGTTAACAATATGAGCAGAATTATGCCGTGGTAATTGTAGAGGTATGTGGCAAAGCAGCTGATTTTAAAATTTTAATCCACTCTAAATATGCATTGCACCCTTACTAAATTAGCCTCTGATTCTTAGTGGCCTTTTGGAAAATGTATTCAGTATGCTAAAGTTTTTAGAAAAAACATTCTGAAATTTTCCTTTTCATTCAAGCCCTGTTTTTTTTCTTCCCCCTTCCCAGCACATGACTTTTATTATTCCAAGAATTGATACTAGAAACTGCATTTATTGGAAAGATAGAACAATGGTATCAGTTAATTCTGGAAAAACAGTAGATGTCACATCAGATGTGTCCTGGGCAGTAAAGTTATACAGTTTGTATTTTTTCTGGTTCTAAATCTGAAGGTATTATTTTCTTTTTCAGTTGAACCCTGGGTGGCCCCATCTAACACTTTCGGATTTCAGCTGGCTTTTATTTCTATTGTATTTGAATGAAGAATCAGGAAATTCTATTGGGATTACATTATCTTATGGTTATGTTGAGATTATGAGAGACACCACTTATGCTACTACGTACGTTTCAAAGTGGTGCTTTTAGGTTTTCTGTTCTTTGTGAGCCTCTTTGTGTGTCTTTTTCATGACTTGCATGTGAGGCAGCTGAGGAAGAAACAATCTATACATCGTTTCTCAATCTATACTTCCTTTGGCATTTATACCACGCATAAATATACTGAAACATGATTTTTTTTTAAAAAAGTGTGGGGGGCAGGAGGGAGGGGAAGAAATAGTAAGCATCAATATACACAGAGCACTGAGCCAGATGCTGGGGAGGTTACCAAACGAATTATAGGCTCTGCCCTGGAATAGAAGGTAACGTTATACAAAGAAGCAAACTCACAAGTTAATAAGATCAGGACAAAAAGTGTTAAAATGGAGATAAGTGAGGCTAGTCTGCGCTACCAGGGGAAGTCACTGTGGCCTGAGTGTTTAAGCTTTTGGAGGAAGAGAGACAGACCTCAACAACTCGGGGTGCCCCCTACATACTCACAAAGCTTTGCCTGCCCCTGGGTGTGTGTCTGCTCTCAGTGAAGAATACCAGTATCCACTGTTCCTTGTGGGTCATTATTTTCTGCTTGATAAGAAATTGTTTACTTTGGCAAAACATGCCTATATGCTTAACATGCCTGTCTTACCTCTTTTGTGGTAAATGAACCAAATTGCATTCTCGTATTTTCTGTTTGACAGTGACAGCTGTGCAGATTCAATTCAGGCCCCTTGGACTAAGAACACTTGTGATTTTCATTTATCTACGATATATCATTCTTAGAGAAGATCAGCCTTACCCATATTACTTCCTTTTTCAGACAAATGGACACCTACCAGGGAACGGAGATGTGTATCAAGAAAGGCTGGCACGTTTAGAAAATGATAAAGAATCCCTCGTTCTTCAGGCAAGTGATTTTTAAATACTGTTCTTTCCTTGCAGCATACTTACAAAGCCTTTTAAATTGGGGTGGCAAATTCAGATTGCTTGCAGCAATCAGACTGCTAATAGAAATAAGCCTGATAAGCCATCTGTACACAATAGGGAGTGGTGAGGATTGGGGCAGAATGATGGTGTTTACACCCAGTTTAAAAGGAGCTACCATTAATCATCCTCAGCTCTTGCAGGACCAGTCTGAATACGGGCACAATGTTGTCTGATCTGTTCTTTTTTTTTTTTTTTTTTGGAGGCGGGGTCTTGTTACATTGCCCAGGCTAGTCTTGAACTCCTAGGCTCAAGCAACCCTCCTACCTCAGCCTCCCAAGTAGCTGGGATTACAGGTGTGCAGCACCATGCTTCACTGGATCTGATTTTTAAGTATATTTTAATATATAGCAGAAATTCAGATATATGAATATAGCATAACATCTGAATATATGTAAGTTTATATTTCTGAATCTGAAATCAGAATATATATATTTAATTTTTCAATTTTAAAAATGTTACCCTGTGTGAGACAAAACAAAACAGTGACTAGAACCCTCCTTGTGGGCTAAATTTGAGTTTGCTTCTTCATAATGTTTTAAATGCTTCACAAACATTTTTCTTTGGTATATTGAGCAAAATGAATTGAAGTATATTTACTGAGTGATGATTATTGAGGAAAAACTCAAAGATCTGCTGTAAGCACTAGAGTTGAAGGACTAGCCCAACAGCTCCTCAGGCACCTTTGGGTATATTGAGTTGCCCCCCCTGACTTTGAACACATCTATGATCTGTGTCATCTTCAAAGAGCTCATGGAATTTGAATTCCCTGGGTTTTGTTTTTGTTTTTGTTTTGGACGGAGTCTCGCTCTGTTGCCGAGACGGGAGTGCAGTGGCACAATCTTGGCTCACTGCAACCTCCACCTCCCGGATCCAAGCGATTCTCCTGCCTCAGCCTCCTGAGTAACTGGGATTACAGGCACATGCCCCCACAGCCAGCTAATTTTGTATTTTTAGTAGAGATGGGGTTTCACCGTGTTGGCCAGGCTGGTCTTGAACTCCTGACTTCAAGTGATCTGCCCGCCTCAGCCTCCCAAAGTGCTGGGATTACAGGCGTGAGCCACCGTGCATGCTACCTCTCCCCCCTACCCCTGGCCAGGTTCTTTTTCTTATTCTCCTTGAAGTATCAAATTTTTGATAATTTCTATTTCAAACATTAACTTTGTTTCCTCTCTTATACTATCTCCACGCTGCCCCCTAAAAAGATAACTTCTGTACATGCTGTCTTTCATAAATGGTTGAAGTAGCTTTAACCAAAAAGTATTGTACATTCCTAATCTACACGAATTTTCTCCAAATTGTATAGGCCTCCTTAAATCAAATAGCAACATATAAATAGGAATGTGAGGGACCACTGTCTTCTTGGTACTTCTCAGATTTTTTTTTCTTTATAACCGTATGAATGGTAGGATCATTCCTTTTTTTGTTCCATTTAGAGAAATAACGTATGCAGTGGGACCCAAATTCTTTTTCACTCATTGCATTATTTTGCTCTAAATACAGGTAAGTGTGTTAACAGACCAGGTGGAGGCTCAGGGAGAGAAGATTCGAGATTTGGAGTTTTGTCTTGAAGAGCACAGAGAGAAGGTGAATGCCACAGAAGAAATGCTGCAGCAGGTATGTGCAGAGGCCAGAACCAAGATGGGATTTCCCTGCTGAACTATGTGAGATGCTGCATTTCTATGTTGTGTTTGCTCTGATGCAGCAGTAAGTTTCTTGATTCATTTAGACCAGCACATTAAAAAAAAAAAATTGAGAGTAGTAGAGTCTCAAAACACATGCACACAATATAAAGTGTTTATGTAATTAGAATCTGGAACAAAATGTCAATAGGATTGTGGCTTATTTTAATTTTCTTTTTTTGCATTCAGATGGTTTCCTCTCACCCATAGCATGTGTTTTATAATTAAGAAAAAATATAATAGTAAAAAATCTAATAATCCAGTTTAAAAATGGGTAAAATATTTGAATAGACATTTCTCAAAAGAAGACATACAAATGGCAAACAGACATATGAAAAGGTGCTCAACATCATTGCTCATCAGAGAAATGCAAATCAAAACTGTAATGAGATACTATCTCACCCCAGCTAAAATGGCTTTTATCCAAAAGACAGGCAATAAGAAATGCTGGCAAAGATGTGAAGAAAAGGGAACCCTTGTACACTGTTGGTGGGAATGTAAATTCATACAACTGCTATGGAGAACAGTTTGGAGGTTCCTCAAAAAACTGAAAATAGAGCTACCATATGATCCAGCAATGCCACTGCTGGATATATACCCAAAGGAAAGGAAATCAGTATATCGAAGAAATATCTGTGCTCCCGAGTTTGCTGCAGCTCTGTTCACAGCCACCAAGATTTGGAAGCAACTTAAATGTCCATCAACAAATGACTGGATAAAGAAAATGTGGTACTTATACACAATGGAGTACTATTCAACTATAAAAAAGCATGAGATTCAGTCATTTGCAACAACATGAATGGAACTGAAGGTCATTATGTGTGAAATAAGCCAAGCCCAGAAAAACAAACATCTCACGTTCTTACTTATTTGTGGGATCTAAAAATGAAACAATTGAACCCATGGAGATAGAGAGTAGAGGGGTGGTTACCATAGGCTGGGTAGGGTAGTGGGGATGAAGGGAGAGGTGGAGGATGGCGAAGGGGTACAAAATAATAGTTTCCATGAATAAGGCCTAGTATTTAGTAGCACGTCAGGGTGACTATAGCCAATAATAATTTAATTATACATTTGGAAATAAGAATATAACTGGATAGTTTGTAACACAAAGGATAAATGCTTGAGAAGATGGAGACCCCGTTTTCCATGATGTGATTATTACACATTGCATGCCTGTATCAAAACATATACCCCATAAATGTATATTCCTACTATGTAGCCACACAAGTAGAAAAGAAAATATCTAACATATAGGAGAGGCTCTGTAAGGTCATGGATGGAGTATGCACTTGAGCAAAACCTCGTAGGTTTCCATTCCTGCTGTGTTTTTATTTTTTCTTTTTCCCTGTATGACATTAGGCCAGTTCCTAACCTCTCTGTTACTATGTTTCCTCATCTTTTGATTAAGGATAATAAGAATTTCTACCTGATAAGTTTTTTGTGAGGATTGAAATAGTATTTGTTACAACCGGTGCCTGGCACATAGCAAACATAGTATCACCATCATCAATGTTATCATCAGACTGAAGTATATATATGGTTTATGCATGTGTATCTACACAACATATGTCTCCCTCAGTAAACTGACATGTGCTTATTTCTGTTCAAAGGAGGGTAACTAAAGTGAATAGTTCTTTTTTATTTTATTTTATTTTATTTTTGAGATGGAATCTCTGTCTGTTGCCCAGGCTGGAGTGCAATGGTGCGATCTCCGCTCCCTGTAACCTCCGCCTCCTGGGTTCAAGTAATTCTCCTGCCTCAGCCTCTCAAGTAGCTGGGGTTACAGGCACCCGCCACTATGCCCGGCAAATTTTTGTATTTTTAGTAGAGACAGGGTTTCACCATACTGTCCAGGCTGGTTCTCAAATTCCTGACCTCAAGCGATCTGCCTGCCTCGGCCTCCCAAAGTGCTGGGATTACAGGCATGAGCCACTGTGCCCAGCCTCAAGTGAATAATTTTTTAAAAGTGTGTAGATTCAGTAATTATACTTCACTATATCCTCTACTTGATAGGTGCTGCTTTGTGCGATCATAAATGAGGTAAATTCACGTGCCTGTTTATAATAAAAGACTTCTTGAATGTATCTGTTAAATTATAATAGGAGCTTCTAAGTAGGACATCCTTAGAAACTCAGAAGTTGGATCTGATGGCTGAAATATCTAACTTGAAGTTGAAACTGACAGCTGTAGAGAAGGACAGATTGGATTATGAAGATAAGTTCAGAGACACAGAGGTGAGTGATACAGTCTCTCCTCCCTCTCTCTCTCTCTCTGTCACTCTGTCTTTGTCTCTGACACACATACATTCCTAGGGCAAAGTTGAAATTCCCTGGAGGTGTGCAAGGAAGGCAGTTAATTACTACGTACCATCATCCTACTTCATTTTAAGAATAATCTTTCATTGCATTGACTTTTTATCACTAGATGCTAATGGCAATTTTTATTTTTAGACTTTTGATATGAAGTATTAATCTTTTTATTAACCTTTAGAAATACTTTTGACTTTACGATATTTGGAGCATCCGTCCATCCATACTGTTTTTCTTAATTTTGTAAATAATGGGCTTAAATACATGGTTTCACTAGTAGTTATTATTTAGGCACACTGATTATTTACTATGTAATTGGATTTTGAAAATCTGTATAGAAAACATGCTAACATTCTATACTCACAAAATCACAGACAGAGCTTTTTTGAGGTCTTTTAATTTGGCATTCTACTTTTGGTCTGTTCCACATGTAAATCATTCCAATTAAATAAGACTCACTGTACTTCTACAAAAATCAGGGTACATTCTGTAACTTGAAGTATCCATTTTAGTGGCTTAACAAGCTTTATTGTTTGTTCTATTTTGTTAATTCAGGCCTCCTAGTTTGTTTGCTTTGTGACATTTGGCAAGTTCTTAACCTCTCTGTTGGTTTTTGATGGAGACAGAGAGCATATCCATTTGAAACATACATTTGAAATGAAGTATAAAGAGTTGCAGAAATTTCTTTTCTCTGAGAGCCATCTCCCCTCCTTTTTGCTTCCTATTTTGTTTCCTTGGTTGGAGTATGGAAGGGTGTCATGCTGGATTAGAAAATGGGTACCAAGGAGAGAGGAGAGAAAATGGTTTACTTATTTTTCCCTTCTGTTTTTATTTCAATCATGTATTTCACGCTGACTATAAGCCAGCATGATACCAGGCATTACATACATTATCCACCATAGGAAAGTTCTTTATATTGGAAATAACAAGTTTTACTCCACTGCTATTTTCAAAATTAAATTTTCTGTCAAAGATTCAATTACAGTGGAAAGTCTTGGTATATGTCTTGCTTCCTCCATAGCAAAAGGAAGTCTTTCATTTGGTTCATGTTTTAATCTTTTTTTTTTTTTTTAAGAGATAGGATCTTACTGTGTTGCCCAGGCTAGTATGGAACTCCTGGCCTCAAGCAATTCTCCCATTTTGGCCTCCCAAAAGCACTGAGGTTACAGGCATGAGTCACCATGCCCAGCCATGTTTTAATTTTAAAACTCTTTGTCAGTTGCCTGTGTGAGCATGTTTCTCATTTGATAGAAGCTGGGGCTCTTAAAACAGGACTTAGAAAGTTACCCAATTTAAAATTCTTGGTTTTGTATTTTCTCTAAAAATCTCTTTGATATTTTCCTCTTTCCCCTCTTTTTGTCAGGTCCTAACCCCATAGTCGCAGGGTAAAGTAATAGTAAAACTCAGTCAACAGATGGGCAACATGGCAGTGGAGCTAGCTCTGCTGCAGGGAAGAATTGATGGTAGATATGGATAGAGGTGGTCTTCTACATTGCGTCCACAAAGTCAAGGGGAAATATTCACCTGTTGTTAACTTAATTTGTATATGAGATGTTAACCAAATGTTGGGGCTAAATTGCAGTAGATGTGTTACTTATTGTTGTAAGCGCCTAGGGTAATATTTATATCCCTTGAGTTTGGCTGCTTTTTTTAATCAAATCTCTTTTCCCCACTTTTTCATTGTTTCACTCATGCACTCTCAATCACATACAAAGTGATCTTGTCATCAAACTTCCTGTACACTCAATCCCTGATAATCTAATAAAAATTCAGTGTTATTTCTAAAACGTATGCACAGACCCGGAGATTAGAGCATATGTGGTAAACTTTGTGATGTTACATATGAAAATAATTAAAATAATCTTCAACATTAAACTAACTTGAATATTCTCATGTTCTTGTTATCGTCCCCTTAATAAAAATATTTTTCTGGGTGTTTCATGAATCCATAATATTTAACTTTCTCTTAGAATTTTAGATTTATATTTGGATATTAATTTCCAAGAAAATATTGGCATGGGGAAGAAGTATAGGCATTTCCAAAGGACTGAGGGTACAAGTCTTTAAACTTTGGAAGATTCAGGACTTGTCCCTGGAATTGCTAATGGGAGATGATTAGCATCATTCAACAGTGCCCCCTTGTGGTAAGAGCATACATGTCAGAGACTGAGTTCCTGCAGGAGCCCTGAATTCTCTGAAAGGGAAAAGAGAAAGGGAACAGGAATTTTCTTTTTTAAAAGGACTGAACTTCTGATAAGAAATTGATTGAAATAGTTTGTATTCTGTTTTTTAAAGTTTTACATTAGGGAGCCATTTCCAGATTTTCCAGCTTGTGTTGTCAGGGGAAGATGTGATTTATTTCAGGTTGGAAATTTAGACCATATTTAAAGTATTGCCATGAAATATAGTTGAGTAGTTTTTTGTTAAAACAGATAAATTATCCCAGTTTACAATTCCATTTTTTTCAGTGGTTTCTTCTTTGCACGAGCAAAGAAGAAAGGAAGCTGTAAAATACAATAGCAGATAAGAATTCAATGGTATTTCTTAGCAATGAGAAAGTAGGAAAATATATATTTAGAAAGATCATATTGATGAATATCACTAAGGACTCATATTATGCAAGGATGATTAGCTTAGATAACTGGGAAAAGCTGATTTTTTTCTTTAGACTTGAATTCTGACCTGTTAGTTGAGGAATCACAAATATGTTGCTGAATAATGTCAAACAGTTCATGACCTAATTCATAAGAAGAAAATAGATATCATCTAAGTGAAATATTGTGCCATTATTAAGGTGTAATTGTATAACTATGATAGGTAATATTTTGCCCCATTTTATAAGAGACCACAATTTAAAAGCCTAAGGGTTTACTGGGAAGTGTTATTTTATTGTAGCATCCCTTCTCTTAGCCTTTGTGAACTTGAATCATTACACTTGGAAGCTTAAAATAATTTCTATTTACAAAGTTTTATTTCATATAGCATTGTTCTACTTGTAATTTTTGGCATTCGTGGATAATTTTGTCCTGTAGTCTATGAATTTGTGATGCAGGAATACATGCATGTCTTTGTAAAAAGAGAGAAGCTGGCCGGGCACAGTGGCTCACATCTGTAATCCCAACACTTAGGGAGTCCGAGGAGGGCGGGTCACTTGAGGTCAGGAGTTCAAGACCAGCCAGGTCAACATGGTAAAACCCCCGTCTCTACTAAAAATACAAAAATTATCTGGGCATGGTGGTGGGTGCCTGTAATCCCATCTACTGGGGAGGCTGATGCAAGAGAATCACTTGAACCCTGGAGGCGAAGGTCGCGGTGAGCTGAGATGGCGGCACTGCACTCCAGCCTGGGTGACAGAGTGAGACTCCATCTTAAAAAAAAAAAAAAAAAAAAAAGGAGAGGGAGAGAGAAGCAAAAATATAGTAACCATTGTAGGGATCTTTGTGGCTTGTAGTAAAATAAGTCATCTCCCATGCAGGGTATTTGAGTGTCTCTTTTGGAGGAGTTAATATTGCTTAACACTCTAATTTCCTTTCCTACTCTCTGGGCTCTTGGACAAGTTTTGTGAGCAAATTGGTCCTTTAAAAAGTAGCACTAAAATAAAGTGGCAGTAGAAAAGGTGCAGAATTGTGTTGTGTCATATAAACACTAGGATTGGTTTCTCTTTCATTTTCTAATGATAAAATTAGGTGAACTGCAGGGCCCTCATCCACTTTCCAGTTGAAAATTGTCATTAAACTTACAGTAAACTCAATCCCTGATAATCTCCTAATAAAAATTCAACACTATTGCTAAAATGTATGCACATACCCAGAGAATAGAGAATAGTTGAGAAACTTTGTGATGTTATATATGACGATAATTAAAATAGTCCTCAAAATTAAAACTGATTTGACTATTCTCATGTTCCTGTTATTCACTTAATAAAAATAAAACATTTCCCTGGCTGTTTCAGGAATCTTAAGGATTCATGGCTTAAAGGATTTAATTTTCATTTCATTCTCCCATATTGGGTTGACGAGCAATCCATATTTTTGTGGACAAAGGAAGAAATTACAAATTTTTTAAAATAGCCATGTATCATTGAGAAGGTTCAAAAGGTAAATGGCTTTACTAAAGAATGTGGTATATTTAAAATATGAAATAGCATTCTATGAAATAGAATAGAAATAGCACTCTGTGAAATAGCATAGAGTCATTTTTAGGATAGAAATATCTGACAAATAATAGATATTACACTACCTTTCTTAATCAAAATTATACTCACCTTTTATTTTCATAAGCCCATCACTTTAGGGCAGACGCATTGGGGATTTAAAGGAATGTTTTAAATGGAAAGATGCCTTCGTTCTTAAGGAGGTACATTTATTTCCATTTGTCTCATCTGATTCATACAACTTTAACCCTAGGAGCTGGTGACTTCTTAAGATTTCCAAGCTGCTATTTTATAGGTATAGGTAACTGTGTTACCACTTTCCTAATGTACTTTCTTGTTTCTTCTTGGACAGGGGCTGATTCAGGAGATCAATGATTTGAGGTTAAAAGTTAGTGAAATGGACAGTGAGAGACTTCAGTATGAAAAAAAGCTTAAATCAACCAAAGTAAGTTTTTCTCACAGGTTAACATTTTCAAACAAATGGCATCACTATTCATCTATGCCCAATAATATAAATAAGATGTTTTCTACTTAATGTATGATAAAGAAGGTATTTTAAAAGTAAATGAAGATTTCCCCCCAAGCTGGAAACCTTGAATTTAAGCACCACTGATCTGAATTTAAAAACAAGGCTTAACTCATCCGACAGAACATAACCTGCCCTTTCTCTGAGTTGTATCTAACCTCCTTTATAAACTGATACTGTTTTCTCGGTTATTTAGCTTGTCTTTTTCTATCTGTAGTTTTCTTTCACTCCTCTGTCTCTCTACCAGTCTTTAATGGCCAAACTTTCTAGCATGAAAATCAAGGTGGGTCAGATGCAGTATGAAAAGCAGCGGATGGAACAAAAATGGGAGTCACTGAAGGTGTAGTAGACGTTGGGTGATGGGGTCCATGGCCTGTTGCTTTCTGGCTTGTGTTGTTTTGCTGTGATGATGTTTTTAGTGGCATGTGCATTCATTCTGTGTGTGTGTCACCTGTTGATTACAAATCACCTCAAGCTGATTGAAGGGACAATGGGATCCCTGATGTTGTTTTCAGAAATACATGAAATAATTGGTGAAAAATAATAAACAGGTAAAAAGAAAGAATTTATAAATTAATCTCTTAGACTATCTGAGACCCAAGCCTAGTAAAATAATTGTAAACATTCGCTTGTGAAAGAATTCTGTTTCGTATCCACAGTAGAGGTCATTTTCCTCTTTAGGGACTTTCTTGATGGTAAATGTACAGCAGTTGATATTATCATGGCTGTGAATAGAAATGACTGCTGAGAAGCAGCACGGTGAGAACAGGTTCACACTTCCTGCCAGTGCTACTGAAGACTTTTTGTACTTGTCCACTCTGCTCCTACCAGAAGTCAAAACTATAGGGCCAAGTGCCTCACTTCATTGGAGAACTACATCTTCTCATAGTACTAAATGTAATAAATATATCTTTAGAGATTCTGAAAGCAAAATGTGATGTTGAATATAAAGCTGTACTTCTTAGCATTGCATAGCTGTATTTTCTGTGTTAAGTACAGCCAGCAAAATTTGTTTGCTAAAACTAATTCTTTACTGAAAGGAAACTGAAAATTTAAACATGAGTACATAGAAGGATGGACTTGAAATCTTATACACAGTTGTATAGTTAAAAATTAAAAGAGGGCTCCACTATCTGTTTTCGAAATTTATTTTTTCCCATTGTTGTAGGAGATTCTGTCCTTTTGTCTTAGTGATGAGGGTGAATTATTTAGTTCCCTGATTTGGCTAAAATTGTTCATGACTTGCTACCTTACCCATGAATGAAACTCTGTGCTTGTCAAGGAAGCATGAGTGCCAACTTGAAATGCTGAATAAATGTCAAGCTAGTCTTTTCCAATTTGCATTTTATTTTGCTTTTATGACACTAAGTATCTAATTTGATTATCTTCCTTGATTAACTTGGTTATATTTTTAATTTAATGTAAAGATTTAAACCTTAGGGCTATCCCATCCCTAATTACTCTTTAAAAGATCTCTTTTTAATTTGATTACAAAGAAACTTGAAATAATTATACCATAACTATTATAAACAGGACTTCTACTAATAGTCTTGCTTTTTGCTTTTCATTGCCCTTGTCTGATTTCTGATGCTTGCATCTAAATTCTAGTAGATTTGTTTCATTCATAAAACCTGATTATTGATTTAAAGAGCTAATATGCTCTCTGAATGTTCCTTTTCAGTCATGATCTGCTATTTTTAAATGAATTTGTAACTTGTAGGATGAACTGGCATCTTTAAAAGAACAACTAGAAGAAAAGGAATCTGAAGTAAAAAGGCTACAAGAAAAATTGGTTTGCAAGATGAAAGGAGAAGGGGTTGAAATTGTTGATAGAGGTAAGAAGATATATTTCACATTTATCATCTCATTTTGTTAAAGTCCTCCAAAATCTGTAAAGGAAACCAATGAAAATCAATGTGTAGTTTTAGCATCAAAGAAAGAGCAGCAGAATCCAGCCAGGACCAGAACCACAGGGGATTCTCCAAGACTCTTTACTGTGACTGGGAATCCATTAATTTCCTCTTCAGCAGCTGGAAAAGGGGAATTCTGTACTTTATTTGGTGTTTAAGATTGCTAGACTGTAAATTCTCATCACAAGGATGGACTTGTCTCAATTGCGATGCAAGGGAATTTGTGCCAAAGGAGTTAAAAAGAACCATCCCTGTGTCCCGGGATCGTTGCCCTCAGAACTGAAATTAGATAAAGTAAGGGACTTAGAAACTGTTCTGCCCTTTTGAGAGAAGAGAAAAATGGTTCTGTATCTTTGGAAAAATTAGTAAAAAATTTATACCAGGGATTGAGCCCTCCACCTTTTAGAAAAATAGGCTAATTCTGTTTTTGGAAAAAATGCATGAATTTGTCCAAACTTTTTTCATAACAGCAGAGGTTTGTTCTGAGTATTATATGGACCATAATTTCTAACAAAGCAGATTGTGCATGATAGAAAATAGCCCGAATGAAATACATTTTTAAAATTATATTTGGAAATATAATGTGCATAATATCTGACAACACTAGGTTAAATTTAACCTTTCTTTGTTATTACGAATGATGACTGTGGCCCTATGAGATACCAAAGCAATTTCTGAGTCATTCAAAACAGTACAAATTCCAGTTAGCGTAGCTTTGTTACATTTTTATCCATTTTATGAACATTAGTAACATTGTCTGTCCAATGAGGGACTTGAGTTAGATTATCTCTAAAGTCCTTCTTGGCTCTAGAATACCATGGCCTTATACCCCTGCAGGTATCACAATTCCCTGTCCGTCAGAAAATTCATCAAGCCTGAGGAAAATGGATTCTCACCACCAACCGCTTCACCGCCCCACCCCATCACCTACTGTTTGGCATATATATAATTGTGTATTGATAAGGGACATTCAGAAACAGGTCATACTGATCATGCTTTCAGGGTTTTAAGAATAAAATGGGCTGGTTTCAGTGGCTCACACCTGTAATTCCAGTACTTTGGAAGGCTGAGGAAGGAGGATCGCTTGAGGCCAGGAGTTCAAGACCAGCCTGGGCAACACAATGAGACCCTGTCTCTACAAAAAATTTCTTTTTAAGATTTGAAATTTTTAAATTTCAAATTTCACCAGGCATGGTGGCTCACTCCTGTAATCCCACCTACTTGGGAGGCTGAGGAGGGAGGATCACTTAAGGCCCAGGAGTTCGAGGCTGTAGTGAGCTATGACTGTGTCACTGCACTTCAGCCTGGGCAATGGAGCAAGATCCTGTCTCTGAAAAAAAAAAAAAAAAAAAGAATAAAATGGCATCACAGGACTTGTGGGCTAGAAGATATTAGAGTATGCTCCCCAAAGTCTGATCTGAGGACTCGAACCAACCTGGGAACTGCGTGTTACCAGTGCCCACCAGCTAACTACGGGGATTGAGAACAAGTCTTTAGAAAGCTCATGTCAGGGTGATATTGGGATAGCATCTAACTGCATCCTCACTGGACTCATCTTACTGGACAGGAGATAGACCCTTTCAGTGTTGTTGAACTTGAGTGGTGAGTTGCATGTGACACAAGCAGTGTTCTAGTCACATTCAGGAGGACCAGGTATCAAACCGTGATGGAAATATAAAAACAAAGTGACACTAACTAGGTTTTCATCATTTATGGTATAAGAAGTGCTTGTAGTCCATAAACCTAATTTTAATGTGAGAAAATCAAGGTCCAGAAAAATGAAGTGACAGAGGTAGTAACTCAAATTTAGGTCTTCTGTTCTCTTTCTAACCTCACATAGAGCATTATTGTACTACCAATCCTGCAGTCACAAAATAGTGCTGAAAAAGTTTTTATGAGGTTAGATTTCCGTTATTTTAGGTAAAAAGAGACTAAATAGTAGTGATTTAAAAATATTACTTATTGTTGTAATGTATGCTAACTTCCAATCCAATGGGTTTTCCTGCACAGATGAAAATTTTAAAAAGAAGCTCAAAGAAAAAAGTAAGGTTTGGTGCATTTCCATCAGCCTTTACATTCACCAAAAATACTACCTTGGACTGTTCTTTGCATGTGTTTTAAAACATTTCTCTCACCAAAGATGTAAAGTTGCTTCATCAATAAGCCCTCCATTTCTTCAGAGTGTACACAATAGAGGGTGGATAATAAAACAATAAGGTAAAAGATTATTTTGAAGATTTTGTCTGATTCAACCTTTCCGCTCTACAGTGTATAACCGGGCACACAGCATTGTGGATGTAAGAAAACATTTTCCCTGCAGTCTAGGTGATTCAGGGTCAGAGGAGAAAATAACTTTTATAGTACGAAAACTCACGATTTTAAAGGTTTACCAGAGTTGAAAGATAATTTTGAAATTTGCTTTTGCTTTTCAATGTTTTGAAGTCCACTATTTGTCTGGGATCTATTAGAAGCTCCTTTGAACATATTCTGTTGTTACAACAGAGATTGAATCCAGCTGATTCATGGAGCCTGAATATTTAATGCAACATTAAGGTAAATCCTGCCAGGCATGGTGGGAGGATCACTTTTGAGGCCAGGGGTTCAAGACCAGCCTGGGCAACATAGTGAGATCCTGTCTCTACAAAAAAAAATTTAAAATTAGCTGAGCATGGTGGTGCATGCCTGTAGTCCCAGCTACTCAGGAGGCTGAGGTGGAAGGATCACTTGAGCCCCAGGCATCTAGGAGTTTGAGGCTGCAGTGAGCTATGATCTTGCCATTGTAGAGTTTGAGGCTGCAGTGAGCTATGATCTTGCCATTGTACCACGGCCTGGGCAACACTGACACCCCATCTCTTAAAAAAAAAAAAAATTAACTCCTTAGGGGCTCTTTCCCCCAGATGTTAAATTCTCAATTCCTATAGAATATATCTTAATTGAAAATGTTACACCAATGCTGAATGATGCACCACTGTTTTATAACTTATCTTAAGAAGACTGGATGTGGTGGCTCACTCCTGTAATCCCAACTCCTCAAGAGGTTGAGGTGAGAGGATCACTGGAGCCCAGGAGTTCAGAGCTACAGTAAGCTGTGATTGTGCCATGCACTCCATCTGAATGACAGAGGAAGATGCTGTCTCTAAAAAAAAGTATTATCTTCAGTAATTTTTTTTTTCTCAGAAGCAGGCAACTTTAGCTGATTTTTTTTTTCCTGTTTGAATTTTTTAGTTTGTGATTTCATTTTGGAGTGACTTTTCATTTATTTATTTATTTGAGACAGGGTCTTGCTATGTTGCCCAGGCTGGTCTCAAACTCCTGAGCTCAAGCAGTCCTCCCACCTTGGCCTCCCAAAGTGCTGGGATTACAGGCATGAGCCACCACACCAGGCCCTGGAGTGACTTTTCATCTTTAAAATATATAAGTTTTTTATTATTCAAGTAACATGCTTTTGTATTTGAATATCAAATTTTAAGGAGAATCACATTCAGCTTACTTTGGCCTTTATGTCTTGAAATCTATCTTAAGGTAGTATTGGAAATGAAGTTTATAGATGAAGCAAAGTACTTATTATCCTTACGTATGGAACTACAACCAGCTTCTTAGCATGACTACTCATGTAAATACTACAAGCCATCAGGCACTTACCGTTCATTCATGCCTCTATCTTGGTTATAACTATCATTTTCTCTGCTTTTGTCATTATATATACCATTCATGGCTTTCACGCACTGCTTTATAGATTCCTGTTTTAGAAACGTTATGTTTTTATTACTATAGCACTGAAATTTCATCTTCAGTGTTCTCATGAAGATTCTCTTGTTGCTTTAAGAGAGGATAGCTAGTTCTCACACACCCTTGTTTTCTTTCTAGAGTGGCAACTGTTCAGGTGAGGTAGAAGATGTCCATCTTTTCAGATTTTTCCAAAAGAGAATATGGGTGTTAAATGTGCCCTTTTTAAAGAATAAATGAAAGAAATCATTAACATCTTTACCTTAAAATATTTCAGTCTGGAGAGTAAATAACTTCTTATCACTGTCACACATGTGAACTGAACTGACTTCTGATTTGATGTTATTTTCAGACATCGAAGTACAAAAAATGAAAAAAGCTGTGGAGTCCTTGATGGCAGCAAATGAAGAAAAGGTATCCAGATGAAATTTAAATATACGTGTGGATGTTTTTTAACACCATTTTGACCATTCCATGCAATTTCATGAGCTATGCCATTTTAAAAGAACATGCCCAGAACACTGCTAGGAGTGAGGGGCAGGTGTGCACACTCCCAGGTGGGCTGTATGCACAGGAATAGGGAGGAGCTGCACTGGCTCCACTGAGAACTCCTGCCCCCACGAATTCAGAAAA
The DNA here is from genome assembly GCF_000001405.40 of Homo sapiens. Taxonomy (NCBI): domain Eukaryota; kingdom Metazoa; phylum Chordata; class Mammalia; order Primates; family Hominidae; genus Homo; species Homo sapiens. Next base: position 27,661,165 of record NC_000012.12, read on the forward strand.
TGTTCAAACTCTCTGATCAGTTCCGCATATTCACGTGACATGTAAGAGAGAGGATACATTCCATAGTACCTCCTGTATGTGGGCACTGAAAATTCTGGGCTAACTTTTGGGCCCTGAAGGAGCTAGCTTGACAGCCTCAGCTTCATGGTCATGTTGGTTTTGTCCTCCATTTACTCATTATTTCCTTTACACTCCTGGCCTGTTTCACATCTGTGATTGTCTCTGCTCTCCCGAGAGATTAAATACCAGAAAACAGCGGCATGGGCTTTACGTTAGCTACACTGGCTGCATTCCAAGGTTTCCACAGGTTTCCTCCCCCCCCAGTTGGTTCTTGTTATCCACATGTGATGTTTCGTCCTGCTAAGGGCAGGGATGCAGTTACTGCACGAAAGTAATGGGTTTCTTCGTGGCTTACCTGACCACGTATCTAGCAGGCAGCCGCAGCTGTGTTCAGCTGATGTCATCAGAACTTCTCTCCCCTTATCTGCCTGAATGAATAGAACCAGGGGACATTTTCCCAAAAAGAAGAGTCATTTCAAGGAAGTAAAAAACAACAAAAAGTCAAAGAACTTTAGCTTGATCTTTTTCTCCCATCGTAAGTTTCTTTCTCTCATTCTTGACTCTTCTGTTTTTCTTATCTCCTTGTTTATTTTTGCCTCGCATTCTCTTTATTTGCTCTTTATTGCCTGGAAGTAAACTGATTGTCATGTCTACTCATATAGGTTCCTTTTTGCTAATGTTTCCCACTATTGAATAAAAAAAAAGTAATTAGCAAGCTGCCCACTGTAACTTTTATTTTTTTTTAAATCACTGAAATTCATTTTGTTTTCATTTCTGTCCCTCAAAAAGCCACAGCAAACAAAATTCCCAGTGTTGAATGAGGGCTTATGAGATGCTCAAACTGTTAGAGGGGCACCCAGCATAACATAACTTCCTCGTGGGGTCGGGGATTCAGAAGACTTCAAAGAGGACATAATTTGAGCAAATTCTGGGGAAGAGCAAGAGTTGTTCATCAGGAAAATAAAGGCTTCTTAGGCAAAGGGTCCATGAATCAAAACTTGTCTCGAGACCAGGTTTGAAACAGCGCAGTGCATGCTGGGATTGTGCTGGAACATGAAGTGCAGGTGGAGTCGGGGCGTGGGGCTGACCACAGAGCTAAGTCAGTGGGCAGGCTACTTCATACACCATGGTCTTGATTTAGGGTCTTAGCTTGTAAACCTTAGGCAGTGACATGATTACATTGCCATTTTAGAAAGCTAACTCTGGTAGCAGAATGGGAGAGTGAAGACAGACAAACAGTTAAGAGTCAGTTAAAATAGGTGAGAAATGAAGAGGGCTTGAAGTAAGGCAATAGCAGTGAAGTGATAAGGTGGGAAGAGCTTTTAGAGAAATTTACGGGTTGACAAGATTTAAGATCTCTGGATTTGAAAAACGAGAGAAAATTTCTGGTTTGGGCAATTGGGTGAATGGATGAATGGATGGTTCTCTTAAGGAGTTAAGGAAATCCAAGCACAGACTCAAGTACTGAAGGGAAAGAATGAGCTTAATTGTAGATATAGTCTATTCAATATGCTTATGGGACATTCTAAAGGAGATTTCTTACAGAAAGTTGGAACATAAATCTAAATTTTAAGATTAATGTAGAACTATAGATTAGTGGGGAGTGAGACCCATCAATTTTAGGAGAAATGCAGAGTTGTAGATTGGTGGGGACTAAGCCACAGTTGATGTGTCAGTTAGCTTTTGCTTTGTGACAGGCCACATTTATTATTTCTCATACTTCTGTGAGTTGGCTAGGTGATTCTTCTGATCTCGGCTGGCTTAGCTGATGTCTACAGTCAGCTGGTGGCTTAGATGAGACTGCATGCATAATTTAGGATAGTGTCACTCACATGTCCAGTGATTGACAGCCTAGTTTAGGTTGGCCCCAGCTGGGAGGACTAGCCTCTTCTCCAGATGGTCTCCCATCCTCCAGTAGACTAGGCTGGACTTCTTCACGTAGTTCCTCAGGGTTCCTTAGAGCCACACCACAGGGCAGCCACAAAGGGCAAATGTTATTCAAGCCTTTGCTTGAATAACATTTGCTGATATCTCTTTGGCCAAAGCCAGCCACATGGCCAGGCCCAGAATGAGAATGGGAGGCGCTAGGGAGGCCATTTTCATAACACAGTTGAGCACATGGGAAAAGCAAAGAGGGTCATGGACAGAACCTGGAAGCTCTAGCATTTTATAGTCCAAGAAGATAATGGGGGTTATGGAAGTTCAACAGCTATCTGGTCAAAGGATTGAGAAATAAAAATCGAAGAAAAGAAAGAGTGGATGGATAAGTGAAAGGAGAAGGAAAGAGTGGGGTCAGTCAAGTGCCATATGGAGGTCAAATTAGAAAAAGGTTGGGGCCGGGCATGGTGGCTCACGCCTGTAATCCCAGCACTTCAGGAGGCCAAGGTGGACAGATTACTTGAGCCCAGGATTTCAAGACCAGCCTGGGTGACATGGTGAAACCCCATCTCTACAAAAATACAAAAATGAGCTGGGCATAGTGGTGCATGCGTGTACTCCCAGCAACTCAGGAGGCTGAAGTGGGAGGATGACTTGAGCCCAGGAGGTTGAGGCTGCAGTGAGCCAAGATTGTACCACTACACTGCAGCCTGGGTGACAGAGCGAGACCCTGTCTCAAAAAAAAAAAAAGAGAAAAAGGATGAAAAGTGTTCATTGTTTTTAATAGATAGGAGGTCACCTTGGTAGAGTGTTTTAAGAGGGGAGAAGCCAGATGGTGATTAATGATGGCTAATAAAGACAGAAGATGGGGGTCTTTCTTTTAAGGTTTGACTTAGAGAGGAGAGTTATTGAAGCTGACTTTTTTCTTTTTTTGTTTTGTGTCTTATTACCTTGTTTTGTTTTTGTTTGTTTAAAGATGGCAGCTAAAGGATAGGATCTCTAAATTTAGAGGTACTTTGCCCATATGTTTAATGTATGTAGGAAACATAGTCTAGTTATTACCAGTTCTCCTAAAGCTTAGAAGTATTCTTTAAATAAGGTAAATAATTCACATCTGCTTATTCTTTTTTTTAAATGCTCTCTCGGCAGAATCATGCGTATTCTTTATGTAATTACTATTCTTTATGCAATTCTTTATGGAATTACTATTACTCTTTTAAGAACATAGGATTAAAGATTACAATTTATTTTATTCCTAGGATCGGAAAATAGAAGATCTTCGACAGTGCCTGAACAGGTACAAGAAAATGCAAGACACGGTGGTACTGGCCCAAGGTAAAAAAGGTAGAGTGTAGCTCTAAAAGTTTTTCTACTTTGGTTGACTCTAAGTGGCTATAAACTTACACATTTGGCCTCAATTTCTTTCCTGGATCATACCCATTGTCCCAAATTAGGTAGCTAATTCGTTAATTGAACAATTAGGCAACTGTACTCTGCCAGAAAGTGTCCAGCCTGAGGAGTGAGTGTACTGTAGAGTCATTGGTCGGGGAGTGCCTCTCTAAGGAGTTGATGAGATAGCATTCCAGAGAGAGAAAAACGACAGTATATGCAGAGAGCCTAGGGGGAAAAGAATATGGCATGCTTAAGAAGAAGAACACCAGTGCAACTGCAAGGTGGTGGGCAGTGGGGAGAGGGGATGAGATGAGACCATAATGATGAGCAACCTCTGGTAGCGCAAGGGGTGGAGTTAAGCTCTTGCTCAAGTGCAGAGGGACTCACTGAAGGGTTTTAAAAGTCAGCAGTGGTCAGGCGTGGTGGCCTACGGCTGTAATCCCAGCACTTTGGGAGGCCAAGGTGGGTGGATCACCCAAGGTCAGGAGTTAGAGACCAGCCTGACCAACATGGTGATACCACGTCTCTACTAAATACAAAAAAATTAGCTGGGCATGGGGGCAGGCACCTGTAGTCCCAGCTACTCAGGAGGCTGAGGCAGGAGAATCGCCTGAACCCGGGAAGCGGAGGTTGCAGGGAGCCGAGATTGCGCCATTGCACTCCAGCCTAGGCGGCAGAGTGAGACTCAGTCTCAAAAAAAAAGTCAGCAGCATGACCTTTGTAACACGTGGGCCATGGAGGGAAGTGAGCAGTATTGAGAGCCGCAGAAACCAATTCAGAGATTTGCAGTATTCCAAGTGAAAAAATCTAGTAGTTGCTGATTGGGAATATGTTATGGTTGGATTGACACAGTGGTGTAATGAGATAGAGGAGGAGAGTGAAGAAGGGGGAGGAAATCAAGAAAGACGTTTCCAACTAAAGCAACTGGGTAGATGATGGTTCCATTGACTGATATGGGGAAGCCTAGAGAAGGAACATTGGGCTGGGTAAGGGGGATTGAGTTCAGCTTTGAACATGGTGAGTTCAGAAAAACCCTGTAAGACAGGTACATAAAGAGAGTTGTGCATTTTGTTGTGTTTATTATTATTTTATCTGCAGATGGGCCAATTGGCCATCCTCAAATGTGGAGGAAATTTGAAAGTGCTCTTGTTTTTTAGCAATGCATAAATAGAGTTATTTGCTCGCAACGTAAGCACTGGATATAAACAATTCTTTTGGAAGGTCCCCATGAAACACTCAGATTTTGAAGTTTTAATTTTGATGAGTTCACAGAGAAGGAAAATCCTGCTTTGGATCAGGATTTTTGAAAAAAAAAATTTTGTACACAAGGTCTGGCATAATCGATTTTATAAATATCTGAGTGAGCAAATGAACCTCTAATAATCAGTGTTGACTAGCAATTCTCATCACTCAGCATTTTCCATGCCTTCAGAAGAAGAGTCTCTATCCTATGGAATATTGCAAATTTGTAAGTGATTAATTTTTACATATGCCTGGCATTTAAAATGTTGTTTGATTTTATAGAATTTCAACTGTCCAATTCTTACGTTTAAAACCAAGGCAGAAAAAATTAATTCCTGTAATTAGACTATATCGTAAAACATTTGGAAAATAAAGAAAAGAGATAAAAATCACTCGTAATTGCACTGGCATGATCACTATTGGCATTTTTGTGTATTGTTTATTTCTAGCTTTTTTTCCTGTGCATACAAACGTGTAAATACAAGAGGTAGTTTTTAACAATGTACAGCAGCACAGATTTTCTTAAACCCTTGAAAACTATGTTCTGTTCCAATAAAGAGTTGTATAAACAGTGATTTCTCACTAGGAGTTATATTTAGTTAATCCTCATACAATTCTAATAACACTAAATTCTAATAGAATTAGAATAACATTCTAGTGAAACCTAAATTAAGAAGCTGTGGTCTGATTAAGATCTTTAAACAAGTGTATGATTTACCATGTCATATTATTTGTAGATTAGCGTGTTAAGTATCATTTTTTTCTGTTTTTAAAAAAGAATATCTGGCACTGCGCTGTTCACCATTTAATCCCTTTTGATTTCTAGAGATGTAAAAAAAAATTCTCAAGTTTGCAGCTTTGGTGAATATGTGGTTGGTTTTTTCCATCAGACGTTTTTTGCTTTAAAATGGGATAAAAGGATCCTCTTGAGAGATCAAAGATCATCTGTCTTTTTGTTTTTTCTGTTCTCCTATGTTTTTTCAAGAGCACAGCAGTGATGAAAACTAAGTTGTTTAAATGGGACTTTGTTGCTATTCACAATTCGTTTTTTGTACCAGGTATTCTTCAGTTTGAATATTTCTACACTAAAATTTGTAAGCCCCTGATTTTAAAACAAAGTTACAAGAGAGTTGTTGGAAAAAGTTAACTTTTAATTTTCTTTCAATCTGATGAGTCAATGTATCGAGTATGACTTTGTCTGTTAATATCACAGGTAGCCATTGTGGCCCAAGAGCCCTTGGCCTTAGTTTCAAATGCTGTTTCCTAGGTCCTATGTTGTTTTTCAAGGGCTGCCAGGAGAAGCTGACTCTGATTTTTGAGGATCAGAAAAAATTTTATATTCGTTATAATTGGGATTCTTATCTTCTTGTAAAAGTGAAATATAAATCAAAAGCTGCTGTTGTCTTCTCTTTGTTTTATCTTTTCCTAGGCAAAGATGGAGAATATGAAGAGCTGCTCAATTCCAGTTCCATCTCCTCTTTGCTGGATGCACAGGGTTTCAGTGATCTGGAGAAAAGTCCATCACCCACTCCAGTAATGGGATCTCCCAGTTGTGACCCATTTAACACAAGTGTTCCCGAAGAGGTATTAATAGACTTTCAGTATTTCCTTTATGTTGAAGAGACTGTGTTACTGAAAAGTTAAAACACTGCTCATAACATGAAAAACATGGGTTCCTTTCTCAGTTCCATCACCAACTCAAGTGAGGTTATATAAATAAATTGACTTTGGCCACTTCTGATGGTGACTCTGAAAGATAATTGAATAAAATTTTCTTCTGACTTCTTTAGACTTGGAAGAAGCAACTGGAGAGGAGTAAACAGTTATACACTCCTTACTTTGCATCAAACTGGCAGGAAAATCTGTTTGCTGTCTATTGTACACCACACCGAAACTTTGTGGCTTCAATGACAGCATTTCTTTTGCTGATGACTCTGCACTTTAGCAGGGTTCAGCATGAGCATCTCGTCTCTGCTCTACTTGGCATCAGCTGGAGTGGCGTGAAGGCCTGGGCCTGAGTCATCTGAAGGCTAACTCACTCATATGTCTGGTGGTTGAGGCTGGCCTTTGGCTGGGACCTCAGCTGAGGCCCCATTTAGAACAACTACATGTGACCGCTTGGCTTCCTCACAATCCTAAGGGTGAGCATTCCAAGAGGCCCGGGCAACTTTGCATCGCCTGTTATGATTTATCTCAGAAATCACATGGCATCTCTTCTGCTGTAGCCACAGGCCTGCAGCCCACCCAGATACAAGGAGAGGAAACATAGACCCTACCTCTTGATGAACAACTGACAACATTACATTGTTAGGACACGTGGGATGGGAAATATTGGTGCAACCATATTTGGAAAATATAATCTACCCTCTGGCTACACCGCTTTACATCCCTCTCCCATGCAAAATACACTCGCCCCCTTTCCGAAGACCCCTAAGTCCCATTCCAGTGAGGCGTCAGCATCCCAGGATCTTGTCACCCAGACCAGGTCGAGATGTGGGTGAAGCTCCTCAGGTACAGTTCCTTGCGCATAGCTTCTTGAGGACTCTTTCATTGAATTAAAGAGCTGTGGATTTCAAGGACAGTTATCTGCCCTCCACACACCCATACGATGGTTGGATAGGCATAATGTAACTGCAGTAGCCACTCCCATTAAAAAGGGGGAGCTGGAAGGCTCACAGGTGTCACCAGTCCATAGCAATTCCAAAATCCAGCCAGGCACATGTTGCCAATCCTCTGGGCTATTGGCTCTTCCCTCTAAGTCATGCTTCCTTTGCCTATATTTGCAGATGAGTAGTTTTCTCAGTTTTGTGCCTGCAGAAGTGCCCAAAGATATCCAAATTCATCTCTTCATTTTCCATTATCTCTGTTCCTTTGAGTCTAATTTAGTGTAATACTTTAAACATTTAGAATTTCATACGAATCATGTTATAATTCACTGCATTACAGAAGAACACATCCACAGCTATCTTCACCATAAGCCTATCTCTAGCTAAGTTTCCCTGTAAGGCTGCAGTGGGACATCCCATTATTTTTAGAGCCTTTCATCATTTTTCAGAGGTTCAATGAGACCGCACTACTGTAATCTTCCTAAGGTATTTTTTTTTCTATTTTTATTTGATTCTAGTCTAGTCCATCCTGAGGTCTTAGCAAAGGGTTTTACAGCCACATCCTTGGCTCACCTGAAGACCATGTTTTCCTGATAGCCCTTGTGCTTGATCTTTGCCCTGAAACCATTTCTTAATTTTAGTGTAATTTTTTTTTGTCTAGAAAGACCGGGAATGGGAAATAGTTTCATTGTTTAAACAATCTTGGCTTCCTTATTTTAGCAGTTCCTTTTTTGGTCATTTCTCTTCTCACATTTTACTATAGGTAGTGAGAAGAAACCAAGTGGCATTTTTACTTTTATATCTGTTGCTGATAATTACACAACAAGAAGATGAAATTTGAATGCAATGAAAATGAATTCAAGAAGAAAACATTGAAAATTTCTCACTTAAATGTAGGAGAGGGCTGAAATATTTCATTAATCAAGGAATTAGTTAAGGAATAAGAAATACTTTGGTGGAAAATATCCCCTAATTGTTAGATATATATTTATATCGAAAGCAAAAATAATATTTGACAGTCAACGAGTGTGCTGCAGTTACAGAACTAGTGTTACATGTAGGGTATATCCAAATAATCCCATATCCTTTTAGAAAAAGTCTTTGCTATGTGAATTGTAGTTTTAAGTTTGTAACAAGAATGGTTTGATGAGGGTTGAGGGAGTTCAGCGACATTTTTAAAGAAAAGCCAGGAGGGAGATCTGAGTTTGGAGTTAAAGTCTTAAAGTTTGAAAAAGATCAAGAAAATTGATCTGTTAGTATAGTTATATTTTCCCCATGATTAGGAATCTCAAGAGACAAATGAACTTCAGGAAACAGTGATGATGGCTAAATAAGTTGCCCAGGATTCATCATAAAGATTCAAACTGAAAAGATTGATAGTTAAATAATCTGCTACTTTATAATAATTCGACTTCACATTTTATAACCTTTTATTGTGTTAAAGGATGAGACCACCACTGAATAACATAAACAAAAATCACAAAGCTGAATGTATTGCTTACTTAAGTAAGTGAGTGTTCCCGGTCCAGTACATTCTCTTCTAGCTGATCATATGTAGGGTTTTTGAGATGGTTGGAGCTCAAGGGTTGGTGGACTTTCTGAGGCAAGTGAGAGTCGACATCCACTGTAGATGTGTGGTTACTAAGGTGAGACTGTTGCTGACTGGTTGGCGTGTAGAAGGGTGTTCACTGGTGTGAGTCTTTATCAGGCAGCTTTCAGAGGTGAAGAACTGTCACTGGTTGACTGGCAGGAGTTCATTGTGGCAAACTTTGTTCATTTTTTTTTTTACTGAAATATTTTTCATTTATTCATTTATGATGTGGCCTGCAATCTAACTGCTCTACAGTTGTAAAAAATTATTGAAAACTGAAGTATTAAAATTATTTCACAGACTCCTTCCTTAGGATGCACAAAGCATTTGTTTGAGAAAATGTATTATGCATTTTATATGTTGCTGTAATATTATTATTATCATTAAGCAAAGTGTTTTAAGTGGTAGCCACAAAGTCCATTGTAATTGGTTTTAATTACACTTTTCATCAATTATGTTAATTGAAATTAGTCAACTAGTACACACATAGAATAATAATTAACTGGCTTGACCAATGTTCCATATAAGATTAGTAGTAGAAATTAAAGTAAAAATGGAGCTTTTCGCTGGGCACAGTGGCTCATGCCTGTAATCCCACTTTGGGAGGCTGAGGCAGGAGGACTGCTCGAGCACAGAGTTCCAGATTAGCCTGGGCAACATAGGGAAACCGTGTTTCTACAAAAAAATTTTAAACATTAGCCAGCTGTGGTGGCGCACGCCTGTAGTCCCAACTACTTGATAGGGCTAAGTTGGGAGGATCACTTTAGCCCAGAAGTTCAAGGCTGCAGTGAGCCATGATCGCAGCACTGTACTTTAGTGTGGATGACAAAGTGAGACCCTGTCTCAAAAAAAAAAAAAAAAAATAATAATAATAATAATAATAGAGTGTTGAAAGCAAAACGTGTTACCCAAATCTTACAATAAATCATTGCAACCTGCAGGGGTAGGCATTGTCATTCTTATTTTACAGAGGGTGAAACTGATGGATGCCTAGCGAAGTTATTTGCTAAGATCACCGATCACTTAGGCAAGTGTGTCAGAACCAACATTTCATCCAGGGCTTAAGGTTGTTAGGATTTATTATTACTAGCTGGGTACAGTGGCACACGTCTATAACCTTAGCTACTCAGGAGGCTACGGCAGGAGACTGCTTGAGCCGAGGAGTTCAAGACCATTCTGGGCAACATAGCAAGACGCCGTCTCAAAAAAAAGAAAAAAAAATTACTATTAACTTACTTAATGGTATACCGTCTTATTCACAATATTCAGTGTCTTATTCAGAACCAAGTTAAAAAGTTTCCTTCCTCCAGAATGATTTCCTTGATTAGTACTCCTTCTATATAGATGTTTATATTCTGAAATCATTTTATACAGTTCTGAACACTGATTATGAGATTTTGTCAATAGACCGTTTAATTTTCTTATGTTTATTTAAATTACTCTGTGGCTTGTGTTTTGTTTTGATTGATTGATTGATTTTTTGTAATTACATTACAGTTCCATACTACCATCTTGCAAGTTTCCATCCCTTCATTATTGCCAGCAACTGTAAGCATGGAAACTTCTGAAAAATCAAAGTTGACTCCTAAGCCAGAGACTTCATTTGAAGAAAAGTATGTCATTTATTAACAGTGCAATATAAATGTTCAAAAAAGTAGATCAGCCAAAGACAAGGATGTATTGCATTTATTTACAGACACAATTTTTACCTAGAGAAGCAAGAAACTGCAAGATGTCCACTGGGGGATCTGTAATCAGTTCTGTATTATGGAAATAAAAGGTGTGAAGCAGGAAATAATAAGAGATCAGGCTGGGGAGGTAGGGTTGTCAGGTTAGAAAGAGATTTTAAGGAACTTGGCCAAGTGTGGTGGCTCACGCCTGTAATCTCAGCACTTTGGAAGGCCAAGGTGGGCAGATCACTTGAGGCCAGGAGTTTGAGACCAGCCTGGCCAACATGGCGAAATCCCGTCTTTACTGAAAATACAAAAATTAGCTGAGTATGGTGGCACACGCCTGTAATCCCAGCTACTCAGAGGCTGAGGCACAGGAATCACATAAGCCCAGGAAGCGGAGGCTGAAGTGAGCCGAGATCACATCACTCTACTCCAGCCTGGGTGACAGAGCGAGACTCTGTCTCAAAAAGAAAAAAAAAAAAGTTTAGGGAACTTGGATTTTTATATCCGAGGTCATAGGTAACTGTCAAAGGATTGTAAACTAAATAGTCACAGTCACGGGCTGTAAGTGTGTTTGAAGGATGGGTCTGAAGGGGACAGGAAAAGGATACAGTAGTTTGTCTCTAAGAAAATAGAATGTTTTGCCAACATATTCCCAGATTGTCTAGTCTTATTTTAGGCCAAATAAAATAGGACATTTAAAAAAATAGAAATAGCTTCCTTTGCATAATTTTTTGTTTTTGACTTATCTGTTCACTTAGAACATATATGGTCTTTTATTCGTGAAGTTAATAAATACCTTTTGTTCTTTACATTTTAGTGATGGAAACATAATCCTTGGTGCCACTGTTGATACCCAACTGTGTGATAAACTTTTGTAAGTTACATTTTATTGAATGTGAAAAATGTGATTGAGGCTAGAGAAAGAGAGTTCTGTTATACTAACAATTACTAATATTAACAGCAAATGACCGAGGCTGTTAAATTACTGAATAAATCAATGTAGCTATAATAATTGGGTGGGGGTGAAGGTGGGGAGCTGTAAGTTTACAAAGAAATAATTTCTGATTTGCTATTATCTCATGCCAGGGTTTTGCAGATCTCATGCCGGGGTTTTGCAGGTCTCTAGCCTTGCTTCATCAGTTTTCATTTGAAGTTCAATGCTTTTAATTCATTTTTGCACTGACATATTTTGAGTCCAGTGGGAAGGCATCACAGGGAATGATGTGATGCTTGGAAAGCTGAGATGGGTTTTTTTGCACTTTCAGTTTTATGAACTGACCTAATATCTGTGTTTATCCAAGTTAAAGTCTGGATTAAATTAGGAAAGTCTATTTTCAGAGCAGTACTCAAAAATGAGATCTTTTCTTTCTCACTATTATCTTTTACTTTATTTGGTAGTTGATACTTCTGGCAATACACCTAAATACAGAAGAAATGCCTTTTGAAAGTTTGTAAATGTGCATATTTATATTATTCTGTTTCGTAGAGGCAAATACATTACTTCTCTGTCACTCTCTCTAAACTGGTCACATATCTCTACCTTCAAGTTTTTAGTAACACCAGCTCTATATAATTGAATATTAATTATGTGAAAGAGAAAGTCTCTGGATGTTTATAGTGTCTCTTTGCCTTCACTAGGATAGCAAATGAATTATTATGGGCAGCATTAGGGATTCCTCTACTATGCTTTAATTAGAACTATAAAATGAATTGCTTTGCCAGACTCAGAAATGTGATTCCCTTGTGAATTGAAAAGTGAAACTTCCATTCTTTATTTTAATTAGAAGGATTAGATATAAATAGTACGTGAGTATTTTTAAAGTTCCTAGTACATGCAGAGGATGCAGCACTAGTCCATGGAAAACACTGCTTTATTTTCGAATATTGACATCACAAGGCTAGTCCTAAGTGCTTTTCCAGCTCTTCTAACATGTGCAGAACAGTTAGAATTATTGGCAGGACAGTTAATCACCCCTGCTTTTAAAAGAACTAAATGTTGTCATTTAGTGAAGCACATAAGTGACTGCCTGATTCCAGATTTTCTTTTATTGCCAGGATTCAACCCACACGCAATTTTAGTTTCTTTCCAAGATGTTTTACTTAGAAACAGTGGCACTGGAGCCACTTATTATTAATTGTTATTACTGTTATTTTTAGAACTTCAAGTCTGCAGAAGTCCAGCAGCCTGGGCAATCTGAAGAAAGAGACATCTGATGGGGTGGGTTCTGTGTTTTTTGTTTTTTTTTGTCTGTTATCCTGAGAAAAAACTATTTAGGGATCTTCATCTTTTCCCTTTTTGCAAATAAAACTCTTATGAAGAGCTTGTGGTTTTTAGTGGAAAATTATTAGATGTTAGGTTTAACAGTAAATATTAAGAAGTATGAATATGAAGGATTGAAAATAGTATGTAAAACCAAAAATGGAGACTTTAATAAAACATTTTGGAAAATAAACAATACTAAGATTTTGTAGCTTAGAAGTAGATATAAAATTATTTTAACTTATGGAGTTGTATGTGACAAATTCAGAATTATACAAAGGATTTCCCTAACAACCTTAAATATTGTTATTGCTTTGAACAGGAAAAGGAAACTATTCAGAAGACTTCAGAGGTAACTTTTTGTCCAAATTACAATGCAAAAATATTTCTACTTCCATTACATGTAAATTGCTTAAATGTCTCCAGTAGATAAAAACTTTCAGAACCTCTAGAACATTATGCTAAATGAAGCCAGACACAAAGTTCACATATTATATGATTCCGTTTATGTGAAACATCCAGAACAGATAAATCTATAGAAATAGAATGCAGATCGGTGGTTACCAGTGGTAAGAGGTGGGAAAAATGGGGAGAAGCTGTTTAAGGGTAAGGGGTTTTGCTTTCGAATGATGGAAATGTTTTGGAAGCAGGTAGAGGTGGTGGTTGCACAACATCGTAACATACTAAATGCCACTGAATTGTGCACTTTAAAATTGTTAATTTTGTTATGAATTTCACTTCAGTAAGTTATTAAAAAACAAAACCATAGTCTCTCAGTCATGCTACTTAATGTTCCTAATGACCATAACTGAGCTTCCTTAGACCTCCCCAAAAGCCCTTCTTAGATTACCATTAGATTATACACCCGGTGCCCATCTAAAGCAAACATTTTGGTATGTTTAAAGATGTCGTCAACATGTGCTCAATTCTTCTTTCCCCTGATTTTTTTTTTTTTTTTTTTTTGAAATGGTATCACTTTGTCGTCCAGGCTGGAGTGCAGTGGTGCAATTATAACTCACTGTAGCCTCGATTTCCTGGGCTCAGGTGATTTTCCCACTTCAGCCTTTCAAGTAGCTGGGATTACAGGCGTGCACCACCATACTCGGCTGTTTTTTTTTTTCGTTTGTTTTTTTTTTTATTTTTTATTTTTTAAGTACAGATGAGATCTTGTCATGTTGCCTAGGCTGATCTTGAACTCCTGAGCTCAAGTAATCCTCCCACCTCTGCCTTTCAAAGTACTGGGATTACAGGCATGAGCCACTGTGCCTGTTCTGTCCTCTGATTTTCTGTCATTAACCTTGTGAAGATTACAGCCTGATAGGCTACCTCCAGATCCAGTCTCTTGACTGTTGGCTCTTAGTGCCTGAGTCATATGTGGATAGAATTGACAAAGCAGCCAGTGGTGACAGCTATAATTAAAATCCTTGTTGTCTTTTCAGTTCAATAAATGGTTAAATGATTTTGACGTCATTGTTGAGCCATGGATGATAATATCACTAAATTGTGCCATCTGTAAACTTTTGGTTTCTATGAGCTGTAGATATATAGAGTAAAATAACCACCTAAAATACCTATATCCCCTCACCCTTTTCTCTGCTTCTGTAAAAAAAGAAGCAGAGGGCAAGAATTATTTCTACTTCTGCAAAAAAAAGAAGCAGAGGGAAAGAATAGAGAAATGAAAACAAGAAGACAAAAGTATCTTTGTATAAAGGACACCCACTTCAATAAATGGTGCTGGGAAAATTAGATATCCATATGTAGAAGAATGAAATTGGACTTCACCTGTCACCAAATCAACAAAAATCAACTCAAGATGGATTAAGAACTTACATATAAGACCAGAAACTATAAAACTGCTAGATGAAAACATAGGGGAAACACTTCATGACATTGATCTAGGCAAAGCATCTTTGTATAAATACTAAAATAATATACTGTGTTACAGCTGGCTCTAATTGCCCATTCAAAGAACCAAAAAGCTCAAAATAAAGTTGCTCACTGTGCCTTCATTTTCTTATTCTTTGAGGAGAATATTTAAAATAACTGGAATAGAATCTCCTTATACTGCTGGTATAGAAGTTTGAACTAATGCCTGCTTTGTAGAATAATTAATATTATATTAGGCTTCTATTGACAAAGTTATAATATAAGAATATGAACTGTATTATAGCTAAATCCGTGACATAATTGTTAGAAAAGTCAGAAATCTGCTGCTATTATTCTGGTTATGTAATGTCTCCATGTCTTTTGAGGAATGAGGCAAACAAAATTTAAGAATTTTTGTATCCTAAATATTTAAAGCCCTAGACATATCGATTCTAGATTAGTGATGAACATGTTTTCCTTGTTGCTTTTGTTGTTGTTTCTTAAGTAGCTTTCAGAATTGATTTTTTTTCAACTTCTGATAAGGCATTTGACATTGGTGATCAATGTATTAGTTCAGTTATTCTTTTGAATAAACTCATGGATGTGGCGTGAGTGAGTATTTGCTGTTAGCCTGGCATGTGCTGAGGATGCTGCACCTGAGAGCTGTTTCACTATTCTTATTTGCCTCTCAGGACAGAGCTCCGGCAGAAAGCAGGCCATTTGGGACCCTTCCTCCCAGGCCCCCAGGGCAGGACACCTCCATGGATGACAACCCCTTCGGCACTCGAAAAGTCAGATCTTCCTTTGGCCGGGGCTTTTTTAAAATCAAAAGTAACAAGAGAACAGCAAGTGCACCAAACTTAGGTACGTATGACCAAAATGCCTTTGCCCTAATTCTTCCACAAGGAGGAAAAGAGCAGTGTCTTCCCTTCCCTTACTCTTTCATTCATTGATTCATTTCTCTTTCTCAGAAACGAAGGTGAATGACTTAGGGGAATTTAGCAAAAAATGCCTCCGTGGATTTAATTTAGTGTTGTGAAGATATATAGACTCTCACCCTGCTCTCTCCTGTGGTATAAACTTAGCGGAAAGACCTAAAATCATGATTCCCTTTGACTTCATCATGGAGTTTCCCATCTGTTGTGATAGTGGATAAATTAACATTGACGTTGAGCCTGTGTGTAACATCAGAAGCACTGTGTGCCGCATGCCTCTCCTCCACGGTGTGTATTTGGCGAGGAGGAGTCTGATCTGCATTTCATTTTGTCATCTCTGTGTTCTCTCCATTGGGCTGCGTGTGATTGTGTGCGTTGTTGGGATATCTGAAGATCGTAAACGAAGTGCCAGTGCACCCACCCTAGGTATTGTACCCCTGCATGCCAGCCTTCACCAGCACTGTGCTCCAAACCAATCTAATCCCTGCTCTTGGCATCTGTGATCTCTAGAAAGCGATCTGACAGCAATCAGAAAATGTAGTTCTCTATTCCGGAGTGTTCTTTCCACCTTCTGCTAAAAAGGACTCTGTAGAGGCTTTGCTTCCAAGCCTAAATGCTGTTTTAACCAATACTAGTAACACTCACTGTGTGAATAGCTTTGAGAGGACCTAGACGTGTGCAGCATCCCTCAGAGTGCAGGGCAGGAATGTCCTGGCATTGTACATTGCAGCTCTTTCAGCCTTGAAGTGCATATTACCACACACTAACTCCCAGGTCCTTGCAGTCCGTTCTCCATGCTTACATTTCCCCCAGCCTCCAAAAAGAAATTTTTTTGGCCATATAGGGAGGTTTATAGAAGACATTGAATATTATAGTTTTAGGCTTACTTCTCTTAGGGGAACATTCTTCTGACGTTTTATTACTTTGAAGATGGAGATAATATTTAGTGATGACAGAAGCAACTTTACTTGATATCTGAGGCGTTACCCCCCAAAGTGATTTTAGAAGAGGGGCAGCTCAGTTTTCCTCTTTGTAAGGCAGGGGACAAATGGGGAAAAAAGTTCTCAAAATAAAAAAGAGAAATATGGTAGTTTTAAGATGAGGATAAGCTAGGCAGCATTTTCAGGGGCACCTGTAGCCATCGTGGTTGAAGGATTTGAATTGGGAAAGTTCCTTTGGGTTTTTCCAAAAGGTGCTGTTACCTTGTATAGATATCCACCTATCTATTCACATGGACCAGCAAACGGGACTTCTCTCTCTATCGATATAAATGTCTAGAATGAACACTGGATGCATAAAATAAACTGATCTGTTCAGACAACTATTTTCAAATAGTTTTTTTTTGCATCTTTCTTAGAAGAACTGTTTTGTTAATGCTAAGAGGTAAATGCTGCTTATTATAACCTATAATCACAGCTCTGCTTTGTAGAAAAATCAACTTTCTGCAACTCATAGATCTTGCTGAAACACTGTTCTTGTGATTTTAGTACAACTTTTACTTTCTTTTATAAAGTATAAAATCTCACACTGAAGACAACAGTAGCCCTTGTGTTTGCTAGTATGGGATTGTCCACTAAGGGACAGCTAAAAGAACTGAAATAGTTAATGCTTGGAGATCTGAGAGTGGCAACTGTGGATGTGATTCTTTTAAGGTAAAATCAACAGGCACTTACTTTATGTCAAAAGAAAAATTAGGCATATCCAGTTCATTCTTCTCTCAGTGCCTAGGATTTAATAGATTGGAATACATTTCAAAAATAAAGAATTGCTTGAACTGGGTAACTGATTTGATGTAAATGCCAAAGGAGAAGGAGTAAAAGGAAAATGACATAGAGTCTGAGCTAGAGTAACAGGGACAGTATTAATTAATATTAACCAAATATCAAATAAGAACATTTAAGAGACGAGGCCAGGCGTGGTGGCTCACGCCTGTAATCTCAGCACTTTGGGAGGCCGAGGTGGGTGGATCACGAGGTCAGGAGTTCAAGACCAGCCTGGCCAAGATGGTGAAACCCTGTCTCTACTAAAAATACAAAAATTAGCCAGGTGTGGTGGCGGGTGCCTGTAATCCCAGCTACCTGGGACACTGAGGCAGAGAATTGCTTGAACCCAGTAGGCGGAGGTTGCAGTAAGCCGAGATCATGTCACTGCACTCCAGCCTGGGAAACAGAGTGAGACTCTGTCTCAAAAAAAAAAAAAAAAAAAAAAAAACATTTAAGAGAGAAAAAGACTCTCGGGGAAATTGGATGAGTTTGTGAAGTCCCAGATGTCCCGACACACTGAATTGGGAATATCACAGGCATTTAGATACAGAGCCTAGAGAGAGAGATTAGGCCCAGAGATTCTGATCCTCTAGAGGGCATTTAGAATATAATCTTAAAGTGGCATGGGGGAAGAAAAAAAAGCAGGGGTGCTACAGCAAAGACACTATCAGATGACAGATGTAGGAGAGTGGTCATGTCAAGAAGCAAAAGGAGATGATTTTGAAGGATGTAGCAGGTAATCAACAGTACCACGTGCTATGGAAAGATTGGGAATAATTCCATTATGAATTGAAATCACTCAAGGAAAGAATGTGGCAATCCTATCACATTCTTTTAATCTCCAAAGGGCTTGTAATTTTATTAAGTTTACACACAGTAAACTATGGAGCAGAACGTATATGTGTGTTCCATTTCTAATATTTACAAGGTGCTCTTTGTAAGTCACTGATTATAGACCAACAGAAGAATTCTTAACAGTTCTAGAACCAAGAAGATTAACATCATGTTTATTCCATATTTTAAAATTCATTGTCTGCATTCTGCTCTTGGAGTAGCTGAAACAGAAAAAGAGACAGCAGAGCACCTAGATCTGGCTGGTGCTTCTTCTCGGCCAAAAGATTCACAGAGGAACAGTCCCTTCCAGATACCGCCTCCATCTCCAGATTCCAAAAAGAAATCCAGAGGTATCATGAAACTCTTTGGAAAGTAAGTAAAGCAGTAAACAAGTGGAATGGGCCCTGTCTTACATGTTGCTTAAAAGTGGCTGGACATGGGTATGGACTTTGTAAGGCCTTTGTATTCCTCTTATGGAAGGAAGTTTGGATTGTGATGTGGGATTTATTAACTCATTGGGTCTTAGTTAAAGTTTAAATTTAAATGTCTATGTTAACAACACAAAGAGGATTAGTTCCAGTAGGTGCACTAGTTAAAAATGTTCTGATTAACAAGTCTAAGGCCTCCTCAGGTCTAATACTGGCCATGTGTGTTGTCTTCTTTAGACTTAGGAGAAGTCAATCAACTACATTCAACCCAGATGACATGTCTGAGCCTGAATTCAAAAGAGGAGGGACAAGGGCAACCGCGGGGCCCCGATTAGGTTGGTCTCGAGACTTGGGACAGTCTAACAGGTAAGAAGAGCCAACTGATAGACTTTTGCATCTCTACCAAGCATCATAGCCTCATGAGTCCTGCAGTATTAGTACTGTCATTGGGTTAAACAAAGTCATTGCTTAATGCTGTGCCTAATGAAAGGGGCCATCATCTTTAGAGCCGTGCAATTTGTCAATGGTTGATGAACAAACAGAAGGTGAGGGCTGTGCGAACTAGGGGAGAGGCCAGAGCTAAAGTGTCAGCAGCATCTGTGTTAGAATGGCTCTCAGACTTAAATTTTACGTAGATGGTAATTACAAGTACTCTAAAGCATAACTTTGGAAAGATGGGATAGCATAGTGGTTAAGAGTATGTTCTAGAATCAGACCACTTGGATTTGCTTTCTGGCCTTACCACTTTCTACCAGCTGGGTGACCTTGAGCAACAGCTTCCACACCCTGTGCCTCAGTCTCCTCATCATCATAATTAGTACCTACCCCAAAAGCTGACCATGAAGGTTAAATAAGTTAATATGTGTTAAATATTTGGCAGATAATAACTACTCAAGAAACATTAGCATGTAACAGAATCTATGAAAGCACTTAAAGACAAAAATGCTATCAGAATCCTTGTATTTATCAGGACTATATAATATTTTATCCATTAAGATTCTAAGAACTGCTCTGACACTCTTAACCAAAGTTTAGGGCTGGCTTAGAACTACTACATTGACTCACTGTGCATAAGAGGGTGGGGTTGGCAAACATAAAGTACAAGACATTGATACCAAATCTTTTAACAGTATAATAGACTGACTAGAAACCCTTTACATATAGCCCCTCCCATACAGGTGGAACACTGGACATAGGTTACATCAAGGAGGAAACTCTCTTTGGCCTTCTTCAAATACCAAACAGTTTCATTTGCCATATGTTGTCTTTGAACACAGTAGAGCTCCTTGTACTATTTAAAAAAAACCATTCATCTTCCCCTCCGCACCCTGCCCCCACCCCGGAACAAGAACACTATTTGTGTATCTAAGTAAAAGAAAACAGGAATTTTGCTTTGATTGTTTCCTACACTCAGTGACAACATATTGCCCTCTTCTCATTGGTTACCATATGGAAAGAAACCATAATTCTGCTAAAGTTAGTTCAAATTAGACTTAAGTTTCTTTCAGTCCAACTGAGTTTCCTGTTTGGGAATCCAATCTTCAAACAACATTGGTTAAAACTGATACAGTGACTTGTGTTTGTCCAATTTGGTCTTTTTCTGTAGCACTTGTTCTTGCTCTATCACGTTAAATCTTTTGTGGTTTCATTTGAAATGAAGACAGTGGTCTTAGAAGATAACTTTCAACCAGTTGTTCCTCCAATGTATACTAAAAATTAAGCTTTTCATGGTCAAATGTGTATCACCAGGGAATTTCCATGTCTATTGAATGTATAGTTGTTTAAAACTAATGATAAGCCACAGGATTGGCTTTGGATTATTTTTCATGCAATTACTCATTTTCCTGTAGTGACTTGGATATGCCATTTGCCAAGTGGACCAAGGAGCAGGTTTGCAATTGGCTGATGGAACAGGGCTTGGGCTCGTACCTGAATTCTGGCAAGCACTGGATTGCATCTGGCCAAACGCTTTTGCAGGCTTCTCAACAAGATCTAGAGAAGGTGACTGCTTCTCTGTTTTGTTCACACAATGGATACTGAGAAGAAAACAGTATGAATGTAGGGTTGTTTTATAGTCCAGAAAGGGCCATGAGTGAAGCCAGTAAAAACTCTGTAAACAAAAGTTTGGGTTTTCAATTGCTTCATGCTTCTTTTTTCTGGTGGTCTTGGGAGGACCTGGTCTTGATGATTCCTTATGGAACACTTAAGCCATTGGGCATTTTAATGAAAAAGAATTACATAAGCATAATTCAGTTCATATTTCTCGAAATCATTGTTTGGCTTTATCATTGGCCTGTTTTTCTCAGTGTAAGATATGCAATTAACTTCACTTTGCAAAAGAAAAAAAAAAAGCACCCTACAATTTGTGTCTAATTATTTAACATTTCTTCCAAATTATTTAATATTTTGTACAAAATAAGAGTCAAATTCTTTTTATGCATGCTACAGTTCCTAGCTTACAAAGAAAATGAGTCACTAGGGAATGCCTAACACACCCCTAAGATAATTGTGGTGGTCTTGGCTTTTCAGGGACCTTTTGTTCAACAACACTTTACTAGCCCAAGTTGGGATTGTAATTCAGTATTGAATTGGGTCTTTAATGCTAGCTTCATTTTGGAGAAATTTGCATCCTTTGCCAGTGGCACCCAGCCTATACAGATAGAATTATAAAGTCAATGTTTATTGTTTCAGGAACTTGGAATCAAGCATTCACTTCATCGAAAGAAACTCCAGCTAGCACTCCAAGCCCTGGGATCTGAAGAAGAAACCAATCATGGGAAGCTGGATTTCAACTGGGTCACTAGTAAGAAGTTTTTATTCTAACAAAATGAAATAATTATATACATAGTTGCTTTTTCTTTTTAATCACAAGAACAGATGTTTTGTGGCATGGTAGCAACACTGGCCTCTCTCTTTTAGGATGGTTGGATGACATTGGCCTCCCTCAATATAAGACCCAGTTTGATGAAGGACGGGTTGATGGTCGAATGCTACATTACATGACTGTTGTAAGTGACTCACTCCTGGGGTTTGGGGGAGGAAAACTTTTTTTCTCTGAAAAACACAGGAATTGAGTAAGCCAAACACAGTGTTTTCAGTGATTCCACCAGAGTTTGAAGCTGTTGCTTGAACTTGAGGAGAGTGGCAGGCATATTTCCCATGAGGCTGAAGTTGTAGCATTTGGTGATTGTGATTGAACAGGCTTGGGATAATTTGAAACCCCAATGTAAGCTAAGTGAAGCCTAATTTAAACTAAGCTCTCCAGAAGGTTGATTTTATATGTAATACATTCAACAAAGTAAACACTGAAGTGTACACTTTGAATGGGTACATTTTATGGTATGCAAATTATATCTCATAAAGATTTTTTTTGTATTATTTCTTTTGAGATGGAGTCTCGCTCTGTCACCCAGGCTGGAGTGCAATGACGTGATCTCAGCTCACTGTAACCTCTACCTCCCAGGTTCAAGCCATTCTCCTGCCTCAGCCTCCCGAGTAGCTGGGATTACAGGCTCACGCCACCATACCCAGCTAATTTTTTTGTATTTTTAGTAGAGACGGAGTTTCGCCATGTTGGCCAGCTGGTCTCAAACTCCTGACCTCAAGCGACCTGCCTGCCTCGGCCTCCCAAAGTGCTGGAATTATAGGCATGAGTCAACACGCCCAGCCTAAAGATATTTTTTAAATAGAATGTAGAATTTTTAAGCCCAAGCTATCTCTAAGTTATGGGTTTCTATGTGCAATGACCATTTGGAAGAGGCCACCCTTTTGACCTGACATCTTCAAGGACTTGTCTTCTCCTTTCCACTCTGGACAACTGTTACCTGAAACCCTATCACCCGTCTCACTTCAGCCTAGTTCTGCTACAGCAGGAGTTACTGGGGTTAAAGGAGGAGGGAGGAAGGCTAGACTTCTACTCTGGTTCCTTCATTATTGTACATTTCTAGCCCTCCAGCCAATGTGTAGGACTATTCCCTGCTTTACAGCAGTGAGAAAGATGGATTCCAGGAGAACTTTGTTTTAGGTTCCATACCACTATTAATGTTCTACTTAAAATTCTCTTTATTTATTTATTTTTATTTTTATTTTTATTTTATTTTATTTTATTTTGAGACGGAGTCTCGCTCTGTCGCCCAGGCTGGAGTGCAGTGGTGCGATCTCGGCTCACTGCAACCTCCCTCTCCTGGGTTCATGCCATTCTCCTGCCTCAGCCTCCCAAGTAGCTGGGACTACAGGCACCTGCCACCATGCCTGGCTAATTTTTTGTATTTTTAATAGAGACGGGGTTTCACCATGTTAGCCAGGATGGTCTCGATCTCCTGACCTCGTTATCCACCCACCTTGGCCTCCCAAAGTGCTGGGATTACAGGCGTGAGCCACCGAGCCTGGCCTTGTTCTACTTAAAATTCTTTTATTTATTTATTTATTTTGGAGACAGAGTCTCACTCTGCTGCCCAGGCTGGAGCGCAGTGGCACAATCTTGGCTCATGGCAACCTCCACCTCCCAGGTTCAAGTGATTCTCCTGCCTCAGCCACCCGAGTAGCTGGGATTACAGGTGCACACCACTGCTCCTGGCTAATTTTTGTGTTTTTGGTGGAGATGGAGTTTCGCCATGTTGGCCAGGCTGGTCTGGAACTTCTGACCTCAGGAGATCCACCTGCCTCGGCCTCCCAAAGTGCTGGGATTACAGGCGTGAGCCACTGTGCCCGGCCTAAAATTCTTTTATTTAAACAGCTTTTTGTGAAGTAGGCTATAGACCTAACTACCCTAAGTATAATCTTTTTCAAGTAAGTAGCAAGTTTTAAACAGCCAACTTAAGTAGGCATTTCTCAATGTCAAAAAAATTTGGAGTTCAGTTCATGGATTTTTCTTCTCTGTCATTGAACCCAAGCCCCTTACCTTGATGAGCACATCACATAAACCTGCGTGAAATAATACTAATATGTGTAGTATGTTGCACATTTGCTATGTGTCAAACATCCTTTTAAGCATTTTGCTCATATTAATACTGGATTCTCAATAACCCTTTTAGTTAATATTACTAATATTATTATAGTGTGTATAATATATATTAAAAAGTTTTTAAAACTTTTTATTTTAAGATAATTTTAGATTTACAGAGGAGTTGCCAAAGCTAGAATTCTGTATACCTTTCACTCAGCTTCCTCTAACGTTAACATCTTACGTAATCATGATTACATTCATCAAAATTAAGAAATTAACGTAGATGTTAATACAATCAACTAAACTGAAGACTATTCACATTTCACCAGTTTTTCCAGTAAGGTCCTCCTTCTGTTCCAGGATCTAATCTAGGACACTACATTAAAACACACATTTTGTGACTTACGACTTCTGGGGTCAAATTTTCCAGGGTCATTTACTCTTTTATAGCCATTTCACATACGCTGCTTGTGATTTTAAGCTTGAATTTGTTCACATATATACTATATAATTATGTAATACTGTATATACATAGTATTATACACACATATGTAATACTGTAGATACATAGAGTATGTATATATATATATACACACACATACACATATATGCATGTTTGTATATATGTGTGTGTGTATCCATATACACACACACACACACTCTGTGTATCTATAGTATTATAATACTATTATTATCCCTACTTTTTTACATGTATAAAGGAAGGAATCGAGAGGTTGGGTAACTTGGTAACCAAGTTTCCACAGTTAGCAATAGAAAGTCATAGAGAGTTTGAACTCAGGCTGTTTCAAGATCCCTGCTTTTAATAGCTCACGATTATGACTAGAACACATTCAGTAAATATTTGCCTCCCTCTCTAAGTGTGAGTATGTTCCCCCTGAGAATGTGAACAAATTCAAGCTTAAAATCACAAGAAGCATCTGTGAAATGGCTATAAAAGAGTAAATGACCCTGGAAAATTTGACCCCAGAAATCCTAAGTCACAAAATATGTGTTTTAATGTGGATTAGATCCTGGAACAGAAGAAGGACCTTACTGGACAAACTGGTGAAATGTGAATAAAGTCTGCAATTTAGTCAATTGTACATTAATTTCTTAGTCTTGATGAATGTAATCATGATTATGTCAGATGTTAACATTAGAGGAGGCTGAGTGAAAGGTATACAGAATTCTATTCTATCTTTGGCAACTCCTCCACAAATTTAAAATTATTTTAAAATAAAAAGTTTTAAAAAAATTGGGAAGAAAATCACTCAGAAAGTCTGTTTTGATATAAAATAAAACTTTCTTTTTAAAATCCTTCGAAGTATAAAGAATTTCAAAAATAATTAACATTTTAATCACACTGTAAACATTGTGCATTCAGATATTTTTTTAAGCTGACAGACTAGTTAGATGAAAAGAGTCCAGACTGAAATGTTTGGAATGGGTGTCTCAATCCTAGATTAAAATAAGTACTCTTTCTAACATGTCTTAAGACACTACTTTTAAGGAATTACTCCAGAAAAACTTCAGGAAATAATTTTTGCCTGGTTAGTAGCCTCAAGGATTTAAACTGATTAATATTTTTATTAAATATTTCTGTAGTAGATTACATTTTTTTCTTTCTTTCATGAGAAGTGTTTTATCAGAAAGGTGTGTCTAAAATGGATGCTTTCCTTGTTTATTTTCTGGGTGTGTTTGGAAGTAGACTGTTGCTTATCTTCATACTGCTCCCAATATCACCTTCTTCTGAAATAATTTGTTTTGGTGTGTTTGGTATATTTGAAAATATTCCCAAGAGCCACAGACTGGTGAAAATTCTTCCTTGAAGGGGTTGATTGGTAATATATATATGTGATACTTATAACTTCATTTTTCTTCTCTCCTTGACTCTGACCAAAACCTTTGCACTGATTGATTATAGTTGTGCCAAAATTGTTCACAATGTCTGCTAGATAAACCATAATAATCTAGAGCTATTCAATAGCAGACAGGTCCTTACTAAAAAATAATTTAGAACTAGAGAATTATTAAGGTCAGGGAATAGTATAATAAGAGCACTGTTCTGATTTTCCCCAAAATTATGATGTGCCTTAGTTCAGAAAACCCAGCCTTGCTAGGAGCGGTGCCTCACGCCTGTAATCCCAGCTTTTTGGGCGGCTGAGGCCGGGGGACTGCTTGAGCCTAGGAGTTTGAGATAGCCTGGGCAGTATAGTGAGATCCTATCTCTCCAAAAAAAAAAAAGATGAAAAAAGAAAGCCAACTCTTGATCATGTTCACCAATGAGCATCATTCGCTCTTCACTATCTGCTGAAAGGAAACAGAGAGGGCAGTTTATCCAAAGCCTAAGTACTTTATCCACCGATAAAGTTCTCAAAACTAAAGAGGAAACAAATAAATTCCCTGTTTGTAGTATGTGCAGATCAAGTCAAAGCAGATCACCTTTTGTAGTGACCCAGCAAGTGCTTTTCTAACTGTGTTTTTCAGAGCCCTGGGGTTCTACAGATCTCAGAGCATCTGGAAGAGAGAGAAACAGGTGGAAGTCAGCTTCATTGGCAAAAAATACTAATCTGGGGTTTGGGGGAAGATTTTGTTCCAAATGGGAAAGTGGGTTCTGACAAGACCTTGGGGCATATTGGTTTGAGGGGCTCTTCTCCTTTTACTCCAGTTTTCTGAGATTCCCTAAGAAAGTCCTCCTGCTACAGGCCAGCACAGTGAGCTCCTCCTTTTGTTCTTTTTTGCAGGATGACTTACTGTCTCTGAAGGTTGTAAGTGTGCTACACCATCTCAGTATCAAAAGGGCCATCCAGGTCCTGAGGATCAATAACTTTGAACCAAACTGTCTACGGAGGCGGCCATCTGATGAGGTAGTGTTTTAAGATTGAGGTTTATAAGCATGCACTTCCCAGGCATGGGACTGTCCATGTGTCGAAACTAAGAGCCATTTTTCTTGGAGCCTGCAGGAAAAGCCTTAAAATCCAGCCTCATTTACTTCTTAGGCTTTTTCTGTATTCCTTCCTTTTCTCTCCATGACGGTTCCCCTTGTGTAACTAAAGCCAAGGGTTCTTTTTCAGTTATGCTTCTTCCTTTTCTTGGGTGTATTTTTTTTTCCTGACTCTAATCAACAGAGATAAATATCACTATAAAGACTTCCTTTTCTGGCCAAGTATAGTGGCCAATGCCTATAATCCCAGCACTTTGGGAGGCCAAGGCAGAAGAATCACTTGAGCCCAGGAGATCAAGACCAGCCTGGGCAACATAGGAAGACCCTGTCTCTACAAAAATAATAATAAATTAGCCAGGCATGGTGGGTGCACGCTGGTGGTCCCAGCTACTCAGGAGGCTGAGGTAGGAGGATCCGTCTGAGCCTGGGAGATGGAGGCTGCAGTGAGCCCTGATTATACCACTGCAACGCCAGCGTGGGTAAGAGAATTAGACCCTGTCTTAAAAAAAAAAAAGACTTCCTTTCCTAAAGCAATGCTTTATTAGTATATAAGAAAGCTTGAAACTCAAACTATGACAGAAATTCTTTAAAAGAGAATTTTTCCCTTTCTTTTTGCATTTAGTGGGTTGTTGAGTAACTGTACTCCATGGAGCAGACTTTTTAGACAGAAAATGCAATTTAATATTTAGGATCCTGGTTGTGTGTTCCCATAGAATACCATCGCCCCATCAGAAGTTCAGAAGTGGACTAACCATCGAGTGATGGAGTGGCTGCGCTCCGTGGACTTGGCAGAATATGCGCCCAATCTCAGAGGCAGTGGTGTCCATGGTGGGCTCATGGTAAAGCTCTGATTTAATTTAAAATTGACTTACTTTGCTTCCTTTAGTCTAGTCAGTAGGATATTATCAATTTTTGCTTATCATAATCCTAAAGTCATCTGACTCAACCCTCCTGCCCTATTTCTAGTAAACCTTTACTTTCAGAGTATTTGTATTGATATCTTATAACTCTAGATTGAATTTAAAGCCAGTTCTCTTTTATTGTCCTCTTTCATGTTGAATAACATGTAGCTGCTTTCTCTCATATGATCATGTTTGAAAACCCCTGCAAGGATGCAGATTGTATTTCTGCATGTTAATGTTGCTTAAGGAGGTGGCTCCCACAGACAGCACCCTAGAGAGGCAGAGCACTGATATTGGGATGCCTGAAGCCTGGATTTCAGGACCAGCTCTATCACTCACTAACTTGGGAGAAATGGAGAAAAGATATGTAAATTAAAGATCAAAGTCCATATTGTGTCTACCTCACCGGGCTGTTGAGAGGATCATTGGAGATAACCTAAGAGAAAGCTTTGCAAATTATAAAGCACAATACAAACATGTATGATTTGTGGTGACTTTTGACAAGCTTTTTTTTTTTTCTTTAAACAGGTTCTAGAGCCTCGTTTTAACGTAGAAACAATGGCTCAGTTATTGAACATCCCACCCAATAAGACTTTGCTGCGAAGACATTTGGCCACTCATTTCAACCTTCTGATTGGGGCTGAGGCACAGCACCAGAAGCGAGATGCCATGGAGCTGCCGGATTATGTACTTCTAACAGCTACTGCCAAAGTGAAGGTTGGTTCAGGCTCATACGGTTTAATAATTGCTTGGCGCAAAGGCAACGTTTTGTCGGTTACCTGGTTATTCTGTTTTCTGGGGTTTACTAAGTTTTGTGGGTGGGTTCCTTACCAGCAGATGCAGGAATCCTCAGCGCTTAGTTGTCTTGGGAGAAAGATGTTGGCCAATAGACAGTTGACAGATAGAGAGCTTTATTGAAGGGAAATAGGGAGCAAAGAGCTTATTGTAAGAATAAAAAAAAAAGAAGAAGAAGTACAGGGGCTGATCCTGCAGGGAAAACAGCAGGGTCGCAGTAACAATGTTTATTTAAAGGGACAGTACACTCCAAAAACCAAGGCACAGCGGGCTGCTGAAAGAGAATGAGCCCAAGAGTTCTGCATTGGGTTTTTATGATGTCCAGTTTTTTCTTGAAGCTCTCACCACTGTGTTAAGTCTCTGCCTTTTTTATCTCGTTTTCCCGCTCCTGCCTTGAGTCCTTGCCTTCTCCCTGCCTAGTTCCCAACCCAGGCTTGTGGGACCCTCCCTTAACTATAGTTGGTGCGCATGCGTGGGCCGGGTGTTGGCTGCACTTCCACCTAAAGGCTGCATTGCTCATTCCCGCCGCCCCAGGAAGGTTGTATACCAGTCAAATCTATACGTACTGTACCTGCGTTTCTCTTAGGAATTCTCCTTTACCTTCTTCCCCTCTTTATCAGCATGCAGCTAGCTACATTCTGGCAGGTGATCTGCAGAGTGAGTGATTACTGGGCGTCTTAAGGGGCGTTCCTTTCTGCATAGGTATTTCCCCTCCTCTCTGCTCAAATGGAGCATGCATGTTTTGGGTGGTTTCTGGGGTGCGAGATTTTCCAGACCTCTCTTTTCTCAGGGGCTTCCCCTCATGTCTAGCTATCTGCCCACTCTAACAAGTTGAAGGAACAGTTGACCCTTGAAGAACATGAGTTTGAATTACACAGGTCCACTCCTACTCGGATTTTTTTTTTTCAAGCAAATGTGGAGGGATGCAAACCCCACATATAGGGAGGCCCAACTTTTTAGGTACACGGGTACTGCTGGACTTGAGTATGTACGGATTTTGGTATACATGGGGGTCTTGGAACTAATGCTCTGTGTATACTGAGGGACAACTGAGTATATATCTTTTAAAAGTATAATAATTAAGAGAATGCACCCAGATAGCTCAGTCAGTAGAGCATCAGACTTTTAATCTGAGGGTCCAAGGTTCATGTCCCTTTTTGGGTGTTCCCTCTTAGGTGGGCATGGTGGCTCATGCCTGTAGTCCCAGTGCATTGGGAGGCCAAGGCAGGAGGATCACCTGAGTCCAGTAGTTCAAGGCTGCAATGAGCTCTGATTGAGCTATGAGCATGCTACTGCACTCCAGCCTGGACAACAGAGCAAGATTCTGCCTCTAAAAAAATAATAATGAACAGCATAATATTGGCTTCCATAATCCATGTATTGGCAATGCAGACAGCCCATAACTTGGGTCCAAATATTGATTGCAGTTGTTCTGTTTTTATAAATCAAGTACAGAAGAGAGGTTTCTCTTGTACAGATTTAGCTTCTCTGGCTTATGATTGACCAGCCTCGTAAATAGGAAAATACACTTTAAAAATGATTGAAGGTGGGCCAGAAGAGAATGGGTATTTCCTAGTTTACCTGGATTTATGGATCATACCAAATTCAGATTACTTTTTCTTCTTTAAAATTAATCCTAGATTAACTCTTCTAAATATGTTATCCCAACCAACTTGATGGGTTACTGGGTCCTCCAGAAATTTGTGCCAAAGTTCTTTTTAATTTTTTTTTACCCCCTCTATCTGCCTGAGTATCCAGTGACCAACCCAGTGACCATCATGGAGTTTCTCTTCTAAGTATCACTGATGTTTCCTCTCCAAAAAATTCTTTTAGCAGTCACCAGTCCTGTTATGGAAGCAGAATAGGCATACAAGATAATTATAGCCTCACCCAAAGAAAAAATATAGTGAAGTCTATTCTATTTTGCTAATCTTAGATTGAAAAACCTTGCAAAATTGGATTCAGCTGTGAGAAATCTCATTGCATTAAGTCCTGTCTAATCAAAACTATGAAGCCAGGTGCAGTGGCTTGTGCCTGTAGTTTCAGCTACTCCAGAGGCTGAGGCAGGAGGATCCCTTGAGCCCAGGAGTTTGAGGCCAGCCTGGGCAACATAGCAAGATTCTGTCTCTAAAAATAATAGTAATGATGTAATCAAATTATTCTTGCCATATTTTGTTTATCACGGTGACTATTCAGCTATTTGGCGTGAATAAGAAGAATAAGGTTAATTTCCTGAGATTCATAACAAGGGTCATTTATCATTGCATCATTTATATGCCTAGGATGCCCTTTTGTTTTTATCCATATTTAAACATCCAGCTACTTTTCTCTCTACCATGGGGTAAATAATTAAATTATACATATAGGAGGGAGGGGGCAACGCAAAAAAAAATCACATGTTATCAGGCCTTGATTATATGAATTTTATCAAATCCTTTGGATGTTTTTGTTTGCTTTTCTTTTAAAGCCAAAGAAACTTGCCTTTAGCAATTTTGGGAATTTGAGAAAGAAGAAACAGGAAGATGGTGAAGAATATGTTTGTCCAATGGAATTGGGACAGGCATCAGGAAGTGCATCTAAGAAAGGATTTAAACCTGGTTTGGATATGCGCCTGTATGAGGAAGATGATTTGGACCGGTTAGAGCAGGTAAATCCAACACTGTATAACTTTTTGCGAGTTCTTCCATCATTCAGACACTAAATGGGAACTTTGTATACTGTGTCTGATCAAGGACATTTTCTTCAAATAACTAAAAATACAGATAATAATAGTGAACACTTAGAGATCACTTATATCTTCCAGGTACCATCCTAAGCACTTAATGCATACTATGTTTATGGTAACCTTAAGACATGGAGAGCATTGTTATTCTCATTTTGGAGATAAGGAAACTGAGGCACAGAGAGCTAAGTAACTTGCCCAAGGTCCCCAACCTGTCTCTTTGGCTCCAAAGCCTGTCATATTTACCAATATTTTGCCATCTCTGTATTAAAACATGTTAGGAATGGACAGGTTATTCTACCTAGCCTTTTCAGATTAAAGTCGTGGGACCGCATATTTCCCCTCTAATCAACAATGCTTTGCTACTATTAGCAAAGGCATTAGACTAGCTGTGTCAGTAAAGTGTCTCTTCTAATTTTTCACTTCCAGTTGCAGTGGTGAAAGGAGATTATCACCAGAAGTGTTCTGTTGCTCTTACCCCATTCAGTGCTATTTGCATTATTTCTTCTTAGACTTTTGTTCCTCCTGCTGCACTTTCCCTGAAATTGTGAAAACACTTATGTCATGTTATGGTTTGTTATTTGCAGATGGAAGATTCAGAAGGGACAGTGAGACAGATAGGTGCATTCTCTGAAGGCATCAACAATCTGACGGTGAGTTTGTGAAATGAATTGAAAATGTTATTCTATAAATGTCTTTTATAACAACCCCAAAGGACCACATGTCTCTTGGAGAATGTGTAGCTCTGAGCTCTTGGCTCTCAGTGTGACTCCCTGTCTCCTTGTTTTCCAGCACATGTTAAAAGAAGATGACATGTTTAAAGATTTTGCTGCCCGTTCCCCCAGTGCCAGCATTACAGATGAAGACTCAAACGTTTGACCGTAGCACCTGGATGAACATTAGGAGTGCTTAGTCTTTTTTCTACTTGCTTTTCCAAACACTCACAGTATATACAACAGGCAGCGGATTGTCTATTGTTTGTTGTTCCAACTTCTGCTGTCGAGAAGTTTAAACAGAAAGCAGGAGTAATGTGCCGATTCTGAAGTTGCCACAAAAAATAAGACACTGGTGAATGAGAGTATAATTGTTTTTCTTCTATTTAATGTAAAAATCTGTGATATATTATATTTAAAGTGTTGCATTTAAGATGAGTATTTTACCAGAGTGTTTCCATTCATATCCGCGGTATGGAGGATTTGAGGAACAGTAACCAGGATGTGAATGATTTTGTTACATCAGTGTTCACTGTAGCCACCTAAGTAGGACATTATATGATTTCAGAATCAATATGTGGAACTTCTTTAAGCATTCAGTGTGCCCACTAAATGCCAGCCACACCTCCACTTGCCTCTTATTGTCTTATTTTTATATATTTTTCTAAATATATGTATATATACAGTACATAGAAAATAGAACTTTTATTTTGTGACCTAAGGACGATGGTGAAAAGATCACGTTTTCAAAACAATCTGGTGATCAGAATGTTCATATACCAGCTGGTTTCTGAAGAGGTCAGAATGATCTTTCTCCATACTGACTTTTAACAATGTTGATCATTGAGGCTAAATTAATATATATGAAATATTCCTTTTTGATGACACCACAAAATTGTTGAACAGTTTAAGAATTTCAACCTTAATCTTGGATCCCTTTACCTCATATGGAAGAACTTGAGGGACATTAGTATACTTTTTTTTAAGATGGAGTCTTGCTCTGTCACCCAGGTTGGAGTGCCATGGCATGATCTTGGCTCACTGCAACCTCCACCTCCTGGGTCAAGCCATTCTGCTTCAGCCCCAAGTAGGTGGGACTCCAGGCATGCACCACCATGCCTGGCTAATTTTTGCATTTTTAGTAGAGACAGGGTTTCACCATATTGGCCAGGCTGGGACTCGAACTCCTGACCTTGTGATCTGCCCGCCTCAGCCTCCCAAAGTACTGGGATTATAGGCATGAGCCACCACGCCCAGCCTGTTATTTTTTTATTATTATTGTTTTTTTTTAGTGACAGAGTCTCATTCTGTTGCCCATGCTGGAGTGCAGTGGCGTGATCATAGCTCACTGCAGCCTTGAATTCCTAGGCTCCAGTGATCCTCTCACCTCAGCTTCCCTAATAGCTAGGATTACAGGTGTGTGGCCTCCCACCCCACCCCACCCTTCACACCTGGCTGATTTTTCAAAAAGTTTTTTTGTAGAAACAGGGTCTCACCATGTTGTCCAGCCTGGTCTCAAACTCCTGTCCTCAAGTGATCCTCCCACCTCAGCCTTTCAAAGTGCTGGAATTACAGGTGTGAGCCACTCTGCCTGGCCTACCACTAACTTGAATACATTCAGAATCACCTCCTCTCCCCAAAATTTGTAGAAATAGTTTTTGAGGAAGCCAAAAGCAAAGCAGAAACCTTTACAGTATTGTTTCTTTTCTCTTTGTTAACTGTGTCATTACAGCAAAATACTAGCAGTCTGCCTAAACATGTTCATTGTACATTTCTCAGGCTATCAATGAATGGAGGTTTTTAAAAAGTTGAATATTTGTCTGAACATTTTATTTCAAAGTTCAAAAAAACAGAGGCTGCAAAATTCATTTTATAATGGCTATTTTGTGACGATAAGATGTAGTTCATGTTTTTCTGTAGCACTGGGCCCAAATATTCTTTGTAAAGAAAATCGCTGCAGCAAAAACTGTTACTGTGTTTATTATATTTGTAGAAGTATTAGAAAAATATTCTATTTTTTATTCAGTGCTGCGTAATTACCCATGGTAGCCAACCCTACAAAAGACAGGTTTTCACAAATTGAGGTGGAGGTGGGCGGTTCAGTATCTGCCACTGGACTTGATTATAAACTGTATTTGAATATCAGTGGTATTATCTTTTAAGTTGTCAGCAAGTTACCAAGGTATTCATT
The DNA here is from genome assembly GCF_000001405.40 of Homo sapiens. Classification (NCBI taxonomy): domain Eukaryota; kingdom Metazoa; phylum Chordata; class Mammalia; order Primates; family Hominidae; genus Homo; species Homo sapiens. Next base: position 27,694,908 of record NC_000012.12, read on the forward strand.
AAAGAACTTGTAATATCAAATTACTATTTATTCATAACAATTGATTTGATGCTAATAATAATTTTCTTTAAACTCTACCATTCATTATGTGGTAACTGTATTGAACTTACTTTATTTGGATTTTATTTTAATGTGACTAGATGTCACCACTTCAAAAAATCAATTTGTTCTTAGAACCTGGTTGAAAATACCAGGAAACTGTTACAGACGCCATTTTTTTTTTTTTTGAGACGGAGTCTTGCTCTGTTGCCCAGGCTGGAGTGCAGTGGCACAATCTCAGCTCACTGCAAGCTCCGCCTCCTGGGTTCACGCCATTCTCCCACCTCAGCTTCCCAAGCAGCTGGGACTACAGGTACCTGCCACCACGCCTGGCTAATTTTGTTTTTGTATTTTTAGTAGAGACGGGGTTTCACCGTGTTAGCCAGGAAGGTCTCAATCTCCTGACCTCGTGAATCGCCCCCCTCGGTCTCCCAAAGTGCTGGGATTACAGGCGTGAGCCACCATGCCCGGCCCAAATATTTTT